>NT_187544.1:0-158965 GCF_000001405.40 Homo sapiens
CTCCATTCTCCAAAACATTGAGAAAATGAATTTCTATTGTTTAAGCCACCCAGTCTGTGGTATTTTGTTATGACGGCCTCAGATAACTAATAGAAAAACTAAGCTTTTTCACTCCCAATATCTGCATCCTCAGTTTCTTACATCTTTTCTACATTTACCACTAACTCTCTGAGGACAATGATGACATCTTTGTGTTCCCCACCATATGTTATGTGTATAGTAGATTTTTCAATATTTCATAGGCTCCCAGAAGATTTAAAAGTGGAGGAGGTCTAAGATGTTAACTTATCCTCCCATTTTAAAGCTAAACAATTCAGATCCAGAGATGTTCAAAGACTTGGCCAAAATGGCTCTACAGTTAGGAAAGAGCAGAGTATGAAAATCCAGAGGCCACTTGCAGCCTCTGGGAAACGGCACTTCCATTATTTCCCTGGGGGAGATGGAAATGGGATGCATCACCCTACTGCTAATACCGTCTCTTGTTTTTAATAATATTGTATGATGGAGCCCAAACTCCACAGGAACTGAACAGTTGAAACTAGATCCTAATTAGAATAAGGAAAAATCGATACCACTTGATGTACCAAAAAGGAAGTATAATCCAGGCTTTTCAAGGAAGGTGACAAAGCAAACATACTTAGCAGACATATTATTTTATTCTTATTGGCTTACTCGGTGAAAAATTTAAATATGTTCTATTTTTGTGTGTGAGAGTGAAAAATGTAAACATATTTGTGTGGTTAATCTAATTGCGCATAATGTGTTGGTCTTTATTTACCAGAAGGGGAACCTGACTCAGGTGGCCCCAGGACATGTCAGAAGCACTTATATATTTTTCTCCATCTATCAAATCAGTCTGTGCAGTGGGTTCAACTGCTTTATTGTAGGGGCACAATGTGTAAAAGACTGGAGTTAGAACAAAAGCCACCAATAAAACTATCCTTGTAAAAATGATGACAGGATCTTTCTGCTATTATCATGAACTATTTTAAATGCTAAATCAAAAGGATGCCAACTGGTGGCCTTGTTGCCTCTCTCAAGAGAGAAGAAAATGATTAAATTAACACAAAGCTTTAAATCCATTCCCACTTGGCAGAGAGGTCTGAAACTGATCATCATGGTAGCATGTGAAAACTTGCAAAGTGGTGGTTAGCGGTACTTTTGTGTAATGGAAAAATAACACTCACAAGTTGATAATGCAGGCTGTCATTTTTATTCAGTTATTCATCCAACATTGAGATCCCTAAGTTAGATCCCAAAGTTTCAGTCTCTTTTTCTCTTGATTTTGAAGGTGAAGGTTGATCATGGTGATGTGAAACTCTACCAAAATCTCCATCTGCAGAGCGGAGGCATGTTGCTGTAGAAGCGCACTGGAAGGAAACTCAGATCACTGAGGTCCAGCCTCACTGCAGCCTTTGGTTCTTTCCTTGGCCCATGAAGAGTCTCTTAGCCTCACTGAACCTATTTTCCTCCTCTGTACAATGTTCACAATTAAGTCCTTGCTTAATGCACAGTAGTGTGGGGAAAATATTAGAATACCATTTACATTTGTATGATCTTTGATAACTAATGAAACCCTTCTCCTCTGGTTTTTCTTTTTTTCTCATACAAATGCAATGAAGTAGTTGGCCTAGGCAAAGAATTTATGACTGATCTCAAAAGCAAATGCAACAAAACAAAAATAGACAAATGAGACTCAAACTGAAAAGCTTTTCCACAGCAAAAGAAATAGTCAGCAGAGTATACATATGTAACTAACCTGCACAATGTGCACATGTACCCTAAAACTTAGAGTATAATAAAAAAAAAAAAAAAATCTGTAGGATAATATCATCAGTGAATTTACATTTAAAAATGCTAAATAAATATGTATGTATTTCAGATTTCAGAAATATATTAAAAATCATGGAGTATGATTAAAAAAAAAAAAAAAAGAAATAGCAGAATAAACAGACAACCTATCAAAAGGAAGAAAAGTATTTGCCAACTATGTATCTGACAAAAGGGTAATATCTAGAATTTACAAGTAATTAAAATAACTCAACAAGAAAAATACAAATAACCCCATTAAAAAGTGGACAAAGGACATGAGCATTTTTCAAAAGAATACATACAGGCAGCAACAAACGTGAAAAAAAAGTTCAACATCGCAAATCATCAGTGAAATGCAAATTGAAACCACAATGAGATAGCACCTTTCACCTGTCAGAAAGGCTTTTATTAAAAAGTCAAGAAAACGTAGATATTGGTGAGGATGAGGAGAAAAGAGAATGCTTATACACTGTTGGTGGGAATGTAAATTAGTACAACCTCTATGGAAAACAGTGTGAAGATTTCTCAAAGAGCTAAAAATAGAACTACCATTTGATCCAGCAGTTCCACTACTGGGTATTTGCCCAAAGGAAAAGAAATTAGTATATTAAAAAGACACTTGTGCTCGTATGTTTATCACAGCAATATTCACAATAGCAAAGACATGAAATCAATATATGTCCATTAGCAGATGATTGGATAAAGAAAATGTGTATACATTCTTGGAGAAACATATATATATATATATACACACACACACACACACACACACAAAATACACACACATATATTATACACATACACTCATGCACACACACCATAGAATACTATCCATTTATAAAAAATAATGAAATCATGTCTTTTGCAGTAACATGGATGGGACTGGGAACCTTTTTTTTTTAGGTTAAATCACTCAGAAAGTCAAGTACTGCACATTCTCACCTAGTAGGAGCGCAACAATGTGGACACATGGACATACAGAGTAGAGTAGTAGACACTGGAGACTCGAAAAGGTGGGAGGGTGGGAGGTGGGTGTGGAATGAGTAATTACCTGTTGGGTACAATGTACCCTATTTAGGTGATGGTTCCACTAAAAGCCCCGACCTCACTGTTACACAATATATCCATGTAACAAAAATGCACTTGTACTACCTGACTCTATAAAAATTAAAAAAAATACAATGAATTAGGAAACACAGTAATTTGTTTTTCTCATTTCAGACTGGGATGCCCAGAGGTTTTACATGCTTAAGGTGAGGAACTGAGGCCAGAGTCACCTTGTCATAGTCATTGCGTGGTGCTTTTTGGCTAAAGTACAAATGAGTACTATGTATGTGAAGGAGAAGTATTAGGCTATGATGTCTCTAATTTTTAAAATACTATTTTGACAACCTAATTAATAATATTGGGCTTAATTTTAAGGGTAAGTAATGTAATTATATTTTCACATACCTCAGTTTTGCTATAGTAGATTACCAAATTTGTATGCTTCATTTTCTACATCCATAAAATGGGATTCACAATATGCAATAAATGAAAGGTTGTGATAATTCAATGTATTAAATCATGTAAATGCATAGGACTCTTCATAGCATATGGAAAGGACACAATAAACATAATTATTATTTTTGATCTTAGATAAATAAAATATGTGTGAACTTAAATGCACAAACCACACATGCATGCACAAACACACAGGCCTGAACACAGGCAAGTAGTTACTGAATGCCAAATAATCATTAATGTAACAAGTGCTTGGGGTTCAAAGGAGGCGTAATCCTCAAAAGCATGCTGAAAGAGGTGGTCTCTGCACTGCATTGAAGGATATGGAGTATTTCAGTTTCAGTAATAGAGAAAAGAGAACAGAGGAGAGCCATGGATAAATGTGTAGAGGTAAAAAAGTGCAACGTGCAAAATATTCTTGTTTTGGTAAAAAATATGTTTGTACATGAATAGTGGAAAAGTCAAGGCCATATTATAAATCAGTGGTCTTTAAATGCTTCACTGGTAATTCAGATATGTCATCCGCTAAATAGAGGGAAATTATGTATTGTTTCTACGTAGATGATTACATAAATTTATCAATGGTTAGGTTCTATTTAAAAAGTAGTTAGTTGTTCAGTGCACCTTTAGATGTACATGAGGTATACCCTATTATAAGGGAATGTTTTAAGAATCCACCTAACTCTACAAGAGCATTATGTATTTAAATGTATGCTGCATTGACTGCTGATTCATATGGATACATTGTCACAATCTGGCTTTTACATTTTTTAAGGTGCAGGGTCAATGATAGCAGTGTCCACTAGGTTTTCTGTGCTTATTCAGGGTGAAAGCTTCTCAGCAAAACTGGTTGGTGAGGGGGTGGAAATGAAATGGATAATATATAAGCAACATTATCGGAGCTGTATAATCTTTCTTTACCTTTTCCTTCCAAGTATCCAATGATTTAATACTTAGTACCACCATTTAATATAAATCCCCAAACTCCCTTTATAGGAACTATTGATTAATCAATTATAAACCTAGATTAGGCCAGGTACTCAGATAGATGCTGAGGGTGGTTATAATCAGGCATGACCTCAAAGAGACGTGTGGTTGGGTAAAGTATAAGATAGATGTACTAGGTTCATGTAAAACAGAATGAGGGAATGGCTGTTTTACTGAATTGTACTCTGATTTTACTGTGAGTGGAGTAATTGACTGAGCCACCTCCTGCTCACAAACCCAGGAAAGTTGGATGCCTTGCTGACCTCTAAAGTTACCTATTTGCTATCTCCCGGGAGTGCTTCATTCTGTCATCTCAGTATGGCAAAATCTTAGCCATTTCTCAAGAAGCTATACATTTGGGCACACTCGTGAGGATCTTTGCCACCGAATCTCTCCACCCCAAGGTTGTTTCATCCTTAGAAGAGAGGTGATAATAACTACAGAAATATTTACAGGACCCCAGAAATTAGAGGGAGAAGTTTAAAGGAGGAATTTCCAACTTCTCATTAGGAATCCCCAGAGCAGCTCAGTGTGTCTAAGAAGAGAGGGCCTGTAATAGTGCCAGAGTCTTCCATGGCATGGAGGGGCTATGAAAGAGCCCTGGCAATAAGGATGAGAGAAGACTGAACACAGAACCGATGATGTAGACCGTGGGAGAATTTTGCACATCCTAGATGATCCCAATGAGGCATTATCTGATGACCGAAAATCATGGAACTAAGGTGGTAATAATTTTTTAATGTGAACCTGAATGTGTAACTTGAAAACATTACAACTGCTATATGGATCACGGGATCACGTGTCTCCTCTTTCAGTCTTCTCTATGAAGAAATTGTCTGTCTTCTTTACATGTCTGCTCCTTGTTTGAACCTTTCTCATGGCAGTGTTTTTTTTTTTTTTTTTTTTTTTTTTTTTTTGGTTGGGGGGAGAATATATTAGACTAACTAATGTTAGCTGCTTGTTCTTCTTTTTTAGATTGTAATTTTCTTGTCTGTTTGTGTCCCAATTTGTCTTGTTCTATCCCCATCCCTTGTGGAACCTAACACAGTGCCTTGTACTACTCACATAGTAGGCACTTGTGTATATTTAATAATATACTCTGAAATTAACAGAATTGTGAAGAAAGAAATACCATTTAGTTTGTATTCCAGAAAAGATCCTTTCATACAACACACTATAAGACAAGGGGGTATCACATACCACTTATCACATGTTTGAGTGGATTGGAACACAAACATAACATTTAACTGACATAATTGGAATATTAGCAAAATTCTGTCTGTGACATTGCGATAGTTTTGCAGAAAATTTACTCCAAGCTCTGTAAAGCAGGTGAAGCGTCTTGTGGCTCCACATGGGTAATCATTATGTTTTCATAATGCCATTTTCCTTACCCATCATTATAGAAGTCTTTAATGGCAGGGCACTGTTTTAAAAAATGTGTAACCATTCCACGATGATTCAGATTTCCACTCACAAAACATTATGTAAGGGAAAATCTTGGCTGAATAAACATTAAGAAAATGAACAGAGAAACTTTAGTATGAAACCTGTAATTCTAAGAATTTTCTTCTGTCCTGAGTCTGGCCTCATTGCAGAGGGCTGTTGGAATAGTTTTTGTCTTTCCTTTCCAATTTTTTATTTTATTTCATTCTAATAAAATTGGCATTGTCCAATGTATACATTTCAGTATAAAACTTGAAAAATCATCTCCATAAGTCTGTATGGAGCTGTCCCACAAAACTGGCTACCTCATACTGAAAAAGATGGGATATTGATTCTTTCATGCATATGAGTAAAATTATTTTTTATGTGTCTCAAATTATAAGACATTCCTACTAGAAATGAAATTGAAATAATATTTTTATAACAAATGTGTTTGTTTTAGGAAAAAGAGTTTTGTACCTAATTAAGGTATATGACAAATCAGAACTTTTATATTCTGGAACAAAAATTCCTAATGTTTTGACATTTTAAGTGATAAAATTTTAAACACATTTTTATATGTATTTTATATTTCTCCTTATATACTTACATATTTATATTTATTTTCCAAAGCGTTTGCATTTTAGAACCACTTAATACTTTAGAGGTAGTGATAATTTTCTTATTTAAAAACAAAACCAAACAAAGAGAACAACAGCACAAAACATGTAGTCTGAGAATGCATTGGCTATTTATATTCTTACCTTTTCAGTCTCTTAACCTGTAACCCAGAGCATCAGAATAAGCAAGACAAACACCTTGGATGGAAGCAAATGCCTTTGCAGTGTTCTCACAAATGTATACTCCCATTTTTACAGATCTAGAGGGATGTAAGTGTACTTTAAGTTTATTTTAGGATCATAGCTATATTTATTTCTCATAGTTAATGGTAAGATTTCATCACTATTGGGAACTGATCTCTGTAAAGGAGAAAAACAAATCATTCTTCAATGACAAAACATGGTTTTATTTTATTTTTGGGACAGGGCCTTGCTCTGTCACCCAGGCTGAAGTGCAGTGGCATGAACATGGCTCACTGCAGCCTCCACCTACTGGATTCAAGTGATCCTCCCACCTCAGCCTCCCAAGTAGCTAGGACAACAGATGTATGCCACCATGCTCCACTATTTTTTAAAAAAATATTTTTAGTAGAGGCGGAGTTTCACCATGTTGCCCAGGCTGATCTTGAACTCCATGGCTCAAGCGATCCACCTGCCTCAGCCTTCTAAAGTGCTGGGATTATAGGTGTGAGCCACTGAGCCTGACCCAAATGTGATGTTCAGAAATTATAACTTTGATTTAAAAGGAGTTAGAAAAAAGAAAGTAAGAACACCTTTCTTCTTCTTTCATACTGCATTTCACACCACAATTGCTAATATCAAACAAAGAGTGGAAAGTCATGTAAAAAATTGTAAAGGGTAATCCAGTACAGGAACTTGCATATAATTATTTTCCATTAACTAATCAAAATCTTCATTAATGTAAATGAAATCTATTTTAACTTCAAGGAATGTCATTGATTCTTTAAGGGATCTAAAAGAATAAAGAATAAATGTGTAAGAATAGTAATATGAATGTAATGTGTAATTATACATCGACCTAATTGCACAATACAGTACAACGTGTAATCAGTATGGTGAAGAGCAATTTAGTAATCATTAAGAATTCTTAGGTATTTGCTTCATGGTTCAGTGATACAAAGCAAATGTACATTTTATACTAATATCACTATCACTTTTAAACTGATTTCAAGTTTATCCTTTATTGAATACAAAAATGGACTGTCATTGATTTCAAATAACTTTTAAATATAAAAATGCTTTCATATTATATTACTTATGATGTACTTAACCTACATGCTCTAGCCTTCCACAATTCAGCCTGATACTTTTTTAATCTTACACACAAACTTAAACATCTTTTGAGTAAAATCCTTCCCTACCTGGTATCTCTTTTTGTTGACATATCCTAGAGATATGCTAGTTCCAGAAAAAGGATAAAGAGACAAGAATCTTAATCACCAAATCACAAAATCTTTAGTAAATAGAGTTGTATATCCTCTGGTGCTATGTTCATAGCCTTGTAAACTAAAGATATTTCAGATAGTAGATATTGTCCCCCTTTAACAAAATCATTTTTACCTTTTGGAAGTCTACAAATAGCACACTAAATAAAATAGTCTTTTTTTTTTTTGTACTACAGTAGCTTTAAAAATAAACAACAGCCTCTTTGCTAAGATTGTCTAATGTATATTAGATACATTTGAGCAAATTTTATTTAAGTGATTCCTTGTCTTCCATGAACATGCACATTAATAGTCTTGGCATGTAGTTGGGCCCGTGGCCATTTATAACTGTGGGGAATATATTTGTAGGGGGAGAAAATATTGCTGTATTTGTCATTGCTTCTCAAACTTTAATATGCATATATATCACCTGGGGGTGGTTGTTAAAATGCAGATTCCACTTTATTAGGACTGAGTTAAGGTCTGGAATTCCACATTTCTAACAACCTCAGGCGATTCCAGTGCTGCTGGCCCACTGGACCTTACTTTGATAGGCAGGCTCTGTGATGTATTTTTATCTTTCATCTTGAATTAAATGAAATCTCTTAAAGAAAGAGACCTGACATATCTTCATTTTTTCCCCAGCAGTGCCAAGCACAGCACTAGGCATCTAATGGGTACTCCACAAATATGTGTTGCTTATCTGAAGATAAAGCAAGAGTAGAAGACATATCTCTCTCTGATGATCTAATTTTTGTTTTCTTTCAGAAGGTATGAACAACCAAGGAGGCTTCTTTTCAGCTTTTACATTTATTTAGTACAACTCAGGATAGTGGTATTGTCTGAGAGTAGCAACTTGAACTTGTAAGAACTACACTAGAAGCCACAGAACTTGGAAAGGGCAGCCAGACGTACCTATTTGGGTCACTAGACTATTTTCAGATTCTGGAAATTATTTATCTGGTCATTTCTCTGGTTATTTAGGAAACTTTAATGACAAATCTACGATTGCTTCTTTCTTCCTATCTTCTTCTAGGACTATTGCTTTCTTCAACTCATAGAAATAAAAGTACTGCATAGCCCAAAGTATTGGAGTCATAAACCCTTCAAGGGAAGGTGAGGAGGAAACAGAAGGCTGAGGATTATGCCTTGAAAGTTATTTTTAATATTAAAGCATCAATAGATAGTCATGTAGAGCTACATGTACATTGTTTTGACCTCTCTTCTAATATGACATCGTCCTTGAAACAATTTATTCATACTATTTCTAGTTAAAATTACTCCCAAGCATTTTTGGCTACTGAAAATGTCAAAGATGTGTGCTGTTCTGTTTTGTTGCTTGATCACTGGGAATCTATTTGCAAATGTGCAAAATGAAGTGATCCTACGGAATGACTGGGCAGCTTGGCTTCCCTCTGTGATGGGTAGATAATTTTGCTTAATATGTAAACAGTCTTTTCAACACTCTGTGCTTAAATAATCATTGTTGGTTTGCTTTCTTCTAGTATTCCATATTAAGTAATGACTTGGCTAATGAGAAGGATGCTTGTAAGTATATTAGCATCAAGTTCAAATATAGAGAGATTAAATAACCTTCCCAAGGTCAACACACTGGTCATTGACAAATATGGACCAGATCTCATCTCCAAAACCCCACACAATTATACCAGGTTAGCTCATTCTTTCTTCCTAGACATCTTATTTTCCAGGGAGTAGTGAAGGTCTACAAAACTTTCCTACTAAATAGGAAATATATTTTGTTGTCAGATGTAAGCCCAGAAAAGCAATGGCTAAACTGCTATGTATCAAAAACTTTGCAAACTTATAACAGTTTAAAATTTACTTCTAGCTATGTTTAGAGCCCTAAGGAGATAATGGCAAGTCATTTTTTCTTCTTTATACATATGTCATCATTTATGGACAGAAAATAGTTCTCAATTGTAAAAAAATAGCTCTCTATAGGATTTGCTGAGTTTTTTATGGCTAGAGTTATTAAGTAAAATAAATGACATCTGAGAGCACTCTGCTTTGTCTTTGGCTTCAAATAATGTATTTTACTATATTTTTTCATTCTTCGCTGCCATAAGTGGCAGAAAGAAAACCGCTTTTCAAATGGCTAGTGCCTAAAAAGCAAATACTTTGTGGATCTTGGGGCCAGTGTAAACTCAGAATGCAAGATATCTTCCTCAGCTTCAGTACTTGCACAATGCCTGTCTTTATTAAACATGAGTGATTTGCAAATATGATGTTTCTGAGACAGCTAATATCATGGGCCAAAATGAATGGAATCAAAACCTGAGACACATTTCTGTTAATGGGGCTCTATTTGAGAAATGTGCATTATTTTATCAGCTTCCTTATTTTAACCATTCTACCCTGTCAATACTAATACCAAGTGTTCATTTTCTTTATTAGTTTAAATGGGAGAAAACAATGCAGAAAGCTTAATAACTGTTCTATTTTTAAAGCCTTTATAGAAAACATAATATAAAAAGTGATATGAACTAGGCACAAGACAAAACTGACTTTAATATGTTATATGTTAATCTGTTAAAATACAGTACATTTTACTGCAGAATGTTAGCAGGGTATATTTGTAGATAATAGATCATTGACATTTTTATCCTATATCCTTTTTACCTTTTATTCCTTTTAAACATTGATTACCTTTGTTATAAAAAGCAACAACAATAGTTTGTAAAAGATTAAGATATTTAAATATTTAAAAATTTTTCATAACTATATTAGTAAACAGTAGTACATAAGTCTTGATAGGTACAAATGATGTCTCAAAAGACAGATGAGGTGGAAAATTACCACTCTAGCTCATGGCATGACCCCAGCCGTGCAGAGGAAAGATTTCTTCTCCTCCCCTATTCACCTCCGGGTCCCAGCTATCACTAAATATATCGGGGGTCGCGTTGCTGATCAGCAGCCTTAAGCCTGAACATGGTGGGTCCTTTGCATTAGTTCTCAATTCCCACCACCCTCCTCCCTTCCTGTGTCACGAGGCTCACTCATTTCCTCAGTGCCCTTCCCAGTTACTGTCAAATCATATAAACTCATTTCTCTGCCTCCAGCCTTTTATTTCATCAACATATCTCCTATTATATCACCAGATTAATCTTCTACAAATATTTCTTTTACCATTTCTCACTTCTGTTAAAGAATCCTGAAAAGCATCTATCTCTTGTTTTCTGTTGTTCCAAATCTAAACTCCTTTTGTCCTCTCTAGTTATCCTATAATTGGTTACAAACCATTTCTCTGAGCTCATATTCTACTACTCACCATGTCACAATTCTAGTCAAGCAACTCTTCTCTCCTTCTCCCACATAATCAGGCACAGTTCCACATCCCAACCCTTATTTTTTCTGTTCTGCTATCATGTAATATCTTCCTGTTTCTTTTCAATCTGTTGAAATACTAAGGACCCTTCAGTCTGCTCTAATTACCATTATTGTTCATGAAGCTTGATTGACAAGTCCAACCTGCAGAGAGGTCTCGCTTACTGATTCTCACTTGTTCATGTAATATGATCATTTAAAAAATTCTGTTTAAAGCACGAACTGACTACAACCACTTTGACATACTAGACAAGTGGCATTATTACATTAGGAGAGATGATTCTTGTTTTTTTAGGAAAATAAGGATTCTTTGGGAGATGAATTACAAGAGTGCCAAATTGATCTTCAAAATTAAAGGGTAGAAAATGAGATTATCTGATGTCCTGGATAAGAGAGAGTAGAAAACTTGTAGGAACTGGAGAAGAAGAGGTGACAGAGAGTTTGAGAAAATGTAGCTAATTCAATAGCTTTAGGGAAGAGTGGACAATGAGAAGTTACTCATGCTTAGGACTAACTAAAGAGTATAAACATTTAGTTTTAAATTGAAGGCTGTCCTATGTTGTAAACCCACCTTCTACTATCTTAAATCCTCAGTGAAATTCTGTTACACACAGCTACGCTGTGTCTTTGGTATTCTGGAGAAGCGAAGGACTCAGTTGTGGCCAATGGGAGCACAGGTATGCCAACCACAGGCAGTGGCTGCAGAGGTGAGATGCTGAGTGTGAATAGTGAAAGAGCAGAATCAGAAAATGTAGCAAGAGGAAACTAGGAGAAATGCCTCACTAATAATTCTCAGGTATTGGAGTGGTTATTGGTTTTTTTATAGTACATGAGACCGAAGCAATGCTATAATATTATATTTAAATAGTAAAGGAAAGGGGGTTCCAAAAAGTTGGGAATGCTCAAGTAGCTGTCTATGGAAGTCACACAATTTTGAAACAACCTCAATTTATTTCTTAAGTCTGAGATATTTTCATATTGGTAAATGTTATCTATACCACAAGATTATAATCTAATTAAAGGAGCAAATAAATCTTATAACCTTTTAAATCTTCACAATTGCTACCCTGGGGTCGGTTGCTCAATAAGTACTTTTGGATTGCAGCAAATTAAGTTGAGTTAAGAGACTCGTTTTTCATAATAACAAGAATGGCTATAAATAGTATTGCCAATATAAAAATGTTATGTGTGGAGTCAACCATTTTACAGTATGGATACTAATTTTGTAAGACTTTCAGAACATTTATGTTAGAAAACAAATGAAACTGTACTATCAAAATTGTTATAAAATAAACTGATCAGAAAATATTTTCCCCCTACTGAATATAGAATAATCACAAGGCTTTGCCTTTATGGCTGTTAGAATTATGGTTCATAGAGTTTGAACACATTGATGACATTCTTCTAATGTTCTCATTCTCCATATGATATATAACCACATAAGTTATGTAAGGAAGAGGGAAATGTTATTTCATTTAACTTGTAGTCTATGCTTGTTTTGGATATAATAAATTAAGTCATTATATTTGTAGGTAGTCATTTAAGATATTTGAAGGCTTATAATTTCTACCATTAAGCAATTAGCCTGTCATTTTTTAACTATGGCACTGGGTAGGAAGTTAATATGCATAATTTTGTATATTCAGTAGTAAGTATACATTTAACTTTTATCTAGCCCTAAAAAGTAGTCTCAATGAATATATATCTCTTCCTGAGTTCACTTTCAAACTTTTAGAAAGTGAAATCAGAACTGAACTGACGATAGGTGGAAAAGGCCTTATTTTTAGAGTCCGATGGAAGAAATATCACATACTTTAACTTCTCTTTTTTCCCATGGCCTTCACACTTGGTTTAATTGAAACAGTGGCGACTTTTCATAAAAGACTAATTTGATGAGTGAATCTGATGAAGTCAGGTGTGGTAGGGATAACAGGCTTTAGAGAGTTGTATTTATATATGTTGAATGGAGGCTCTTAGAGGAGCAGGTAAGCTGTAGTTAGGAGTTTCTAAGATGATCCAAACAGTAATATTTCTCAGAAAATTCCATTTGAATCTAATGCCTACTGATATTTTGTACACAGCCAATGCATCCCCTAACTACTATTCAGATAAAGTACTCAAAATGAATAATATCATTCATCTATTATATTGATTGCCTGAAGACGGACAGCTATGTTTGGTTTAGGAACACAAACTATACAAATAAAAAAGTATTAATTAGTAACTAAGCACCATAAAATTAATGCCCATTCAAATATCCCTTCTTTTGTAGTACCAATAGTGGTGTCAGACAACATCTTTGTCAATCGGTGCTTTGAAGATTATCAGCTGCTTATGCTGTCTAATTATATAATTCAGTTTGCTGATGACTAAAAGTGCAAAAGATTCAAGATTTATAAAGTGACCTGGGAGAACTGCTTGAATCTCATACACAGCCAATAAAACATGAGGCTGTGGTAGCTTAGGTCAGAGGAGAAAAGCAACAAGATTTATATGTGAAGGGCTTTCAATAGAAAATAATTTAGGCCTCTTCCTGCTTAAGAAAAGGAGAGGGAATACTAAAGGGGACTTTGTTTTGCAGCTTAGGTACCAGCTCTGCCACAGTGGGCTCTTGGAGGCCCTGATTCCAGGGCTTGGCTTCTGGATGGCATTTCTGGACCCACCCTGAGCCAGAGGGGAACACACTGCCCTGATGGGAGAGTCCCAGGCCTGGCAGCATTCACCACAAGCTGACTGAAGAGCTCTTGGGCCTGGAGTGAACATTAGCGGAGCCAGGCAATACTCACCATGGGCCTGGGGTGGTGGTGGCCATGGGGAGAGATTCCTCTGTTTGTGGAAAGGGGAGGGAAGAGTAGGAAGGAATTTGTCTTGTGGCCTGGGTCCCAGCTCAACTGCAGTAGAATGGAGCATTAGGTAGATTTTGACTCTGGTGGTCAAAAATTAAGGTTTCCAACTGCAGACCCTGGCTCCTGGATGGCAATTCTGAACCCATCGGGGGCCAAGGGGGAACTCACCATCATAAAAGGAAGGGCACAAGCCTGGCTGTCTTTGCCACCTGCTGATTATAGAGCCCTAGCGTCTTGAGTGAACATAGGTGATAATCAGGTAGTGATTACTGTGAGCCTTGGGCAAGACCCAATGCTGTGCTGGTTTCAGGTCTGACCTATAGCAGGCTCAATGATGGTGCCCACAGAGGTGCTTCTGTCACTCCTCTCCCAGCTCCAGGCAGCTCAGCACAGAGAAAGAGACTCAGTTTCTTTCTGAAGAGAACAAGAGTCTCTGCCTGGTAATCCAGAGAATTCTTCCAGATCTTATCCAAGACCACCAAGTTGGGACCTCTGTGAGTTGGCAAGAACCACAGAATTACTGGGCTTGGTGTGCCCCTAATGCAGATACAGATGTAGTGACCAGAAACTTAGGTCACAACACCCAAGTCTCTGAATTCCTGGAAAGCCCTCCTAAGGAGGATGGGTACAAACAAGCCCAGACTTCAGAGACTACAATAAATACCTAACTCTACAACACACAGACATGAACTTACACAAGCATCGGCTCATCCAGGAAAACATGACCTATCCAAACCAACTAAATAAGGCACCAGTGACAAATTGTGGAGAGACAGAGATATGTGACCTTTCAGAGAGAGAATTCAAATACTTCTTTTGAGGAAACTCAACAAAATAACACAGAGAAAGAACACAGGATTCTATCAGATAAATTTAACAAAGAGATTGAAATTATTAAAAAGAATCAAGCAGGAATTCTGGAGTTGAAAAATGTAATTGACATATTGAAGAATGCATCAGAATCTCATACCAGCAGAACTGATCAAACAGAATAAAGAATTAGTAATCCTAAAGACACCTATTTGAAAATACAGAGGAAGCAAAAGATAAAAGAATAAAAAAGAATGAAGCATACCTACAGATGGTATGCTTCAAAAGGAAAATCTAAGTTATTGGCCTTAAAGAAGAGGTAGAGAGACAGAAAGGGGTAGAAAGTTCATTGAAAAGGATCATAACAGAGGACTTCCCAAACCTAGAGACAGATATCAATATTTAAGTACAAGAAAGTTATAGAACACCAAGCAGATCTAACCCAATCAGACTACCTCAAGACATTTAATAATCAAACTCCCAAAGCTGAAGGATAAAGAAAGGATCCTAAAAACAACAAGAGGAAAGAAATAAATGACATACAATGGAGCACCAATACATCTGGTAGCAGATTTCTCAGTAGAAACGTTACAGGCCAAGAGAGAGTGGCATGACAAAAAGTGCTGAAGGAAAAAAATTTTATCCTAGAATAGTATATCCAGTAAAAATATCCTTCAAATATGAAGGAGAAATACCTTCCCAGACAAATGAAAGCTGAGGGATTTCATCAACACCAGACTTGTCCTACAAGAAATGCTGAAGGGAGTAAGTATCTCAATCTGAAGGAAAAGGATGTTAATAAACAATAAGAAATCATTTGAATGTCCAAAACTCACTGGTAATAGTAAATAAACAGAATATTGTAACACTGTAATTGTGGCTTGCAAGCTACTCATATCTTGAGTAGAAAGACTAAAGGTAAAAAAATAATGACTACAACAACTTTTCAAGACATATATCTTATTACTATAAGATATAACTAAAAACAACAAAAAGTTAAAAAATAGTAGAATGAAGACAAAGTGTAGAGTTTTTAATAGTTTTCTCTTTGCTTGTTTGTTACTCATGCAATCAGTTTAAACTATCATCAGTTTAAAATAATTGGTTATAGAATATCATTTGTGGCTGGGCACAGTGGCTCATACCTGTAATTCCAGCACTTTGGGAGGCTGAGGCAGGTGGATCACTTGAGGTTAGGAGTTCGAGACCAGCCTGGCCAACATAGTGAAACCCCATCTCTACTAAAAATACAAAAGTTAACTGGGAGTGGTGGTGCATGCCTGTAATCCCAGCTACCCAGGAGGGTGAGGCAGAAGAATTGCTTGAACCTGGGAAGCAGAGGTTGCAGTGAGCCGAGATCATGACACTGCACTTCAACCTGGGTGACAGAGCAGGACTCTGCTCAAAATGAATAAATAAATAAATAAATACATAAATAAATACATAAATAAATAAATAAAATATCATTGGCAAGCCTCATGGTAACTGCAAATAAAAAAATATACAATGGATACACAAAAATAAAAAGCAAGAAGTCAAAATACACCATCAGACAAAATCACCATCACTGAAACGGAGATAGGAAGGAAGGAAAGAAGAAAGAGAAGATCACAAAACAACCACAAAACAAATAATCAAATGCTAGGAGTAAGCCCTTATTACTAATAACATTGAATATAAATGGACTAAACTCACAGTCAAAACACATAGTGTGGCTGAATGGAGAGAAAAGAAAAGACCCAATGATCTGTCACCTACAAGAAAAACACTTCACCAATAAAGACACACATAGACTAAAAATAAAGGGATGGAGAAAGATATCCTATGCAAATGGAAACCAGAAAAAGAACAGGAGTACCTATACTTATATTAGACAAAAAAGATTTCATGACAAAAACTGTCAGAAGAGACAAAGAAGATTATCATATAATAATAAAGGGGTCAACTCAACAAGAGGATATAACAATGGTAAACATATAGACATCCAGACATATAAATGAAATATGATTACAGCTAAAGAGAGAAATAGATACCAATA
The DNA here is from genome assembly GCF_000001405.40 of Homo sapiens. Classification (NCBI taxonomy): domain Eukaryota; kingdom Metazoa; phylum Chordata; class Mammalia; order Primates; family Hominidae; genus Homo; species Homo sapiens. The sequence continues at coordinate 16,832 of NT_187544.1, forward strand.
TACAAATAGCAAGAGATTTTAGCACCACACTTTCAACATTAGACAAATCATCCAGACAGAAAATTAACAAAAAAATGGACTTATTCTGCACTGTAGACAAAACTGACCTAATAGATATTTACAGAACATTTCATCCAGTGGCTGCAGAATACACATTCTTCTCCTCAGCACATGGATCATTCTCAAGAATATGCCATATTTTAGGCCACTAAATAGCCTAAAAAATTCAAAAACCTTGATAGTATATCAAGTATCCTCTCTGACCTCAATGGAATAAAACTAGAAATCAATAACAACAGGATTTTTTGAAACCGTACAAACACATGGAAATTAAACAATATGTTCCAGAATGACCAGTGGGCCAATAAAACAATTAAGAAGGAAAGCAAAAAATTCCTTGAAACAAATGATAATGGAAACACAACATACCCAAACATATGGGATACAAGGACAGCAGTCCTAAAATGAGAGTTAATAGCTATAAAAACTTACATCCAAAAAGTAGAAAACCTTCAAATAAACAACCCAAGGATGCAATTTAATGAACTAGAAAAGCAAGAACAAACCAAACCCAAAATAAGCAAAAGAAAAGAAATCATAGAGAGCAGAGCAGAAATAAATTAAATGGAAACAAACAATGTAAAAGATGAATGAAATGAAAAGTTGTTTTTTTTAAATATAAAATGAACAAACCTTTAGCCAGAGTAACTAAGAAAAGAGAAGACCTAAATAAATAAAATCAAAGATGAAAAGTTAGACATTACAATCTTTATAGCAAAAATTTGAAGGATCATTAAAGGCTACTATGAGCGATGATATGCCAATAAATGGGAAAACCCAGAAAAAAATAGATAAATTCCTAGACACATATAACCTACCATGATTGAACCATGAAGAAGTCCAAAACCTGAACCAATCAATAGCAAGTACTGAGAGCGAAACCATAATAAAAAGTCTCTCAGCAAATAAAAGTCCAGGACCTGATGGCTTCACTGCTGAATTTTACCACACATTTATAGAAGAACTAATTCTAACTGTACTGAAAACTATTCAAAAAACTAGAAGAGGAGTGAGTACTTACAATGTTACTCTATCAGGCCAGTATTACCCTGACACTAAAACCAGACAAAGGCACATAAACAAAGAGAAAACTACAGGCCAACATTCCTGATGTATATGGATACAAAAATCCTCAACAAATACTAGCAAACTGCATTTAACAGCACATTAAGAAGATCATTCTTCTATTCCAGGGATTCAAGGGTGTTTCAACATACACAAATCAATCAATATGATACATCATAACAGAATGAAAGGCAAAACCATATGATCATTTCAATTAATGCTACTCAAGCATTTGATAAAATTTAACATCCCTTCATATTAAAAACCCTAAAAATAGATACAGAAAGAATATACCCCAATATAATGAAAGCTATATGTGACAGACCCACAATTAGTATCATACTAAATGGGACCAAGTGAAAGCCTTTCCTCTAAGATCTAGAACATGACAAGGATGCCCCCTTTCACCACTGTTATTCAACATGGTACTGGGAGTCCTAGCTACAGCAATTAGACAAGAGAAAGAAATAAAAAGCATACAAATTGGAAAGGAAGAAGACAAATAATCCTTGTTTGCATGTGATATGATTTTATATTTACTTGAAAAAACATGAAGACTCCACCAAAAAGCTGTTAGAACTGATAAATTCAGTAAAGTTGCAGGATACAAAATTAACACACAAAAATCAGTACCATTTCTATATGTTAATAATGAACAATCTGACAAATCAATAGAGCAATCTCATTTGCAGTATCTACAAATTAAGTAATATAGCTAGGAATTAACCAAAGAAGTGAAATGTTTCTACAATGAAAACTATACAACATTGATGAAAGAAAGTGAAAAGGACACACAAAAAATAGAAAGATATTCCATGTTCATGGATTGGAAGAATCAATATCGTTAAAATGTCCATACTACCTAAAGCAATCTACAGATTCAATGCAATGCCTATCAAAAATTTAAGGACATTCTTCACAGAAATAGAAAAAAAATTCTAAAATTTATATGAAACTGCAAAAGACCCAGAATAGCCAAAGCTATCCCGAACAAAGGGAAAAAAAGCTGGAGGCATCATATTACCTGGCTTCAAATTATACCACAAAGCTATAGTAATGAAAATAGCATGGTATTGGCATAAAAGCAGACATACAGACCTAGGATCAGAATAGAGAACTCAGAAACAAATCCATACATCTACAGTGAGCTCATTTCTGACAAAGGTGCCAAGAACGTACACTGGGGAAAGGACAGTCTCTTCGATAAAGGGTTCTGCGAAAACTGGATAGCCATATGCAGAAGAATGAAACTAGACCCCTATTTCTCACCACATACAAAAATCACATCGAAATAGATTAAAGCCTTAAATCTAAGACCTTGTACTATGAAATTGCTAAAAGAAATTATTGGGGGAAATTCTCTAGGACATTGGACTGGGAAAGATTTCTTGAGCCATACCACACAAGCACAGGCAACGAAAGCAAAAATGGACAAATGAGATTACATCAAGTTAAAAAGCTTCCACACAGCAAAGGAAGCAATCAACAAAGTGAAAAGACAACCCACAGAATGGGAGAAAATATTTGCAAACTATCCATTTGACAAAGGGTTCATAACTAGAATATATAAGGAGCTCAAACATCTCTACAGAAAAAAATCTAATAATTTGATTTAAAAATGGACAAAAGATCTGAATAGACATTTCTCAAAAGAAGACATACAAATGGCAAACATATATGAGAAGGTTCTCAACATCATTGATCATTACCTGAGAAAATGCATATCAAAACTACAATGAGGTATCATCACGCCTGAGTTAATATGACTTTTATCCAAAGACAGTCAGTAACAAATGCTGGCGAGGATGTGGAGAAAAGGGACCCCTTGTACACTGTTGGTGGGAATGTAGATTAATACAACCACATGGAAAATAGTTTGGAGGTTCCACTAAAAACTAAAAATACCATATGATCCAGCATATGATCCAGTAATCCCACTGCTAGGTATATAACCAAAAGAAAGAAAATCAGTATATCAAAGAGATATGTGCACTCCCATGTTTATTTCAGCACTATTCACAATAGGCAAGATTTGAAAGCAACTTAAAGGTCCATCAACAGATGAATGGATAAAGAAAATGTGGTAATATACAAAATCAAGTACTATTCAGTCATAAAAAAGAATGAGATCCTGTCATTTGCAACAACATGATGCAACTGGAGGTCATTAAATTAAGTGAAATAAGCCCAGCACAGAAAGACAAGCTTTGTATGTTCTCACTTATTTGTTGGATCTAATAATTAAAACAATTGAACTCATGGAGATAGAGTGTAGAAGGGTAGTTGGGGAGGCGTGATGTGGATGGTTAATGGTTACAAAAATATAGTTAAGTAGAATGAAGAACATCTAGTATTTGATAGTACAACAAGATGACTACAGTCAATAATAATTTATTATACATTTAAAAATAACTAAAATAGTATAATTGGATTGTTTGTAACACAAAGAAGAGATAAATGCTTGAGGTGATGGATACCCCATTTACCCTGATGTGATTAGTATGCATTGTATGCCCGTATCAAAATATCTTATGTAACCCATAAGTATATATACCTACTATGTACCCACAAAAATTAATAAAATAAAATAAAATTAAATGACTGATACATCCTATAAAAATATACAATGATTTAAGAATGATAAGATGAAGAGATGAGTCTAGGAAACAAAAATGAGCCTGTTGGCATCTGTGATATGAAGTTCAAATTTGAAGGGAAGAATGTGCTATAACACAATTTTCTTAGAAAAATATTCCTTCCACAAATCAATGATTCATTTCTGATTTGTTCTAAAAACTATTGCAAAATTTCTATTATAACATGATTGTAGAGATATGATCCAAATCAACTCATTTTCTTAATTCTTAGTTTCAATTTTCAAGGCTAAGGGCTAGTTGATTTCTTTTCTCTATGTAATATAAAATTCTTCATCTCCACTGTTTATGAACTCACTTAAAATGATCTTTTGTTGGGGGCAAACTAATTATCCTTAAATTCACTTTTGCACTTTTCCTATTTTAGCTTATTTCCTAAAGCATCATTGAGATAAATATTGAGTTAGAGAAATAATATCTCTTCTTGATTAAAAGATGGCATATTACATATTCTTTATAACTCTTCATTTTTTCAATAGAATTATATTTTAATATTAATATTTTATTTTAACACATAGTTTTTTGTCAGTTATTTACTTAATTATTTTCTAAATACTTACTGAGCACCAGGTATTGTTGGGGTGCTGGCCTTACAACAGTCAACTAGCACAATCCTACTTGGCTTTTTCTCTTCATGTCCTTGGGAAAAATTGCCTGGCTGCCCTAACACTATCAGAGAAATGATGGGACACTTTAAGTTCCTATCCAACTGTAACTTCTTTTATCCTGTGATTGTCAAATATCACACATTTAACTCTAATAGGAATCCTTTTCTAAAATAGGAAGCTGATGAAAGTTCAATATGGCTTCCCATTCACTTAGTGCTCATTTCCTGGATAATAGGTAGTAGGTTTTTTCCTCTTAGATACTGCGTTTTAATACATGAACCTCAACTGTTCATGTGCTATGTTAAATTTTATTGCTCCTAGCAGACCATTATCCAGGAGTATTGCTCTTAAGTAACTTCTCACCTAGTTATAAGCATTGTGGCCTCATTACATGGGGAATAAACATACTTATTCCCTAATGGTCAAGTCAAGAGAATGGCTGTTTCAACAAGTCAAGCAAAGGAATTATTGCATTGTGTTTTGTGAAATCTGCTGTACAGATTTAGAAGACTGAAATATTTTAATATCTTGGAAAAAGAAATTATTTTCTTTATATTTTAAGTTAGGCATGTTTATTAAGAAACATTCTGTGAACTTGATAAATATCTCCTCCAGCCCATTACATTTAGAAATTAAAACAACGTGTTATCTGGTGGGATAGATTGGGTTTCCTTGATCTTAACTGATCCAGAGAAAGTACCACTTGACGTGCACTCTATACCATAAACCATATTAAGACAGCAAAAAAAAAATCAAAAACCAAAAATATAACTGTGATTAATTAAAATGCTTGATATTGAAAGAGGCTTTCAAAATAAACATGCTAGCTCAGGCAAAAATGTTCTTCCTCACTGAAGGCCAGCCTTTTCTTTGATTCTCTTAATTCAATCTCCTTCTGCCTCTTTAGTGCCCATCTAATCAAATATCCCTCTGCTGTGTTTCATGTTCAGTATCACCTGCTTCATCCCATACATTTCATCTACTTGTTCCTCCATTCATTTCTTCAAGTCTTTTAAAAAATGACTTTTATGTGTTAAGCACTGCACAAAGTATGTATCAATGAAAATAAAAACACATAATCATAATAACCATCTACATTTCTTAGGCTTCTCACACATTACTTTGTGTCATGCACAAAATGACCCATGTGGTTGGCAGTGCTTTTATGTCCCTTTTACAGATAGAGACACAAGAAGAACTAATCACATAGCTAGTAAGGGGTAGAGCTGGCATTTGAAACTAGACCTTTGGACTGCAGAGCAGTATGGTCTCTGCCCTCTGACACACAAATGGACAAGTGTAATGTATGATCATTTAAATATTGCAAACATGCAAAAGAAACAGTGAAACCCCAGATGAGCTGTGGGCAAGATTTTACAGAAGTGATGCTTGAACTGAATTTTGAAGGAAGACACAAAACTTTGAAATCATCCTTGACTCCTTGACTTTGTAGTCCCCTCCTGACTACAGAGCTTCATCTCTGTAGTCTGACCCAGAGCTTCATCCCATAATTTGCTTTGACTAATGAGACCAAATATGCTACATAGAATTAGAAGCACTCTGTGCCTTTCTGCTCACACTCCTGCTTCTTTGCCTTCACTACTAGGATATGCCTGCATCAGCCTGCTGGAGGATGAGAGACTAGAAAGAGCAGAGTCAGCCCTGCTGTCCCAGATAGGCTCCATACATAGTCTAGAGCCCCGCCAAGATAAGCAGATTCCTGAGTGAGCACCTCGTTTCCACAGCCCAACTCAGGGAGCTGACTTATCCAGCCAACCCATAGACACATGAGCAAAAACAAATTCTTATTGTTGTATGTCACCAAAGTTTTATAATTTTTGTTACATAGATTATGGCAAGGGATAACAGATGTAACACCCATCTATCCATATTTCATTTCCCAAGTCCAATTAGTTGTTCGGTGATAGCTATGACATCTCTGTGCTATTCTCATTCACACTTCATTCCCTTTCAATTATTGTTACAACTACCCTAGTCAATTTTCTCATTGCCTGTTTTCTGGACTATCGTGGTAGCTTATTAACTGGTGTTCTTGCCTCCAAATCTCTCCCTTCTTCAACCTATCTATATAAAAGTGATTAGGTATTTTTATTAAAACAGTACTGGTGTTGCCACTCATCTCTTCCAAGCCTTCAATGATTTATTTACCTAAGACCAAAATCCTCAGCCTAATATTGAAACTCTCTACACCTGTCATCTAGTCCCACATTCCTTCTTGCTTACCTGTTCAATTCTCCTTTTCCATTACCACACTATTCTTCCCCTCTTTGCTATCAAACATCTAAACAAATGCACATCCTCTTCCCTCCATCTAGAATGCCCTGCACCCTATTTCCAGATGTCTAGATTTTATCATTCCTGCATGTCTAGATCTTGTGTCTGTGCCCCAGAAACCTTTATCTGATTCCCAATTCTGAGTCTTCCTCACATTTTTTATACCACCTTTAGAATCTTGAGCACTCACTTTTTACCATAGTCATTTATGTCTGAAGACTTGCATATTCCACAATATTGGTCCTTAGGGCTGCTGTAATAAAGTATCATAAACTGGGCATGTTAAAACTACAGAAACTTATTCTCTTAATTCAAATCAAAACCTTCATGAGATACCATCTCACACCAGTCAGAATGGCTATTATTAAAAAGTCAAAAAATATCAGATGCTGGAGAGGTTGTAGAGAAAAAGGAATGCATATACACTGTTGGTGGGAGTGTACATTAGTTCAATCATTGTGGAAGGCAGTGTGACAATTCCTCAACGAGCTAAAAACAATAATACCATTTGACCCAGCAATCCCATTACTGGATATATACCCAAAGGAATATAAGTTGTTCTACCATAAAAACACATGTACATGTTTGTTCATTACAGCACTATTCTCAATAGCAAAGACATGGAATCAAGCTAAATGCCCATCAATGGTAAACTGGATAAAGAAAAGGTGGTACATATACATTGTGGAATGCTACATAGCCATAAAAAAAGAATGAGATCATGTTGTTTGCAGGAACATGGATGAGCTGGAGGCCAACATCCTTAGCAAAGTAATGCAGGAACAGAAAACCAAATACCGCATGTTGTCACTTGTAAGTGGGAGCTAAATGATGAGAACATATGAGCACAGAAAGGAACAACAGACATGGGGGCCTATTTGAGAGTGGAGAATGAGAGGAGGGAAAAGAACAGAAAAAAACAACTGGGTACTAGGCTTAGTACCTGGGTGATAAAATAATCTGTACAATAAGCCCCCATGGCACAAGTCTACCCATATAACAAACCCCCGTGTACTCCAGAGCCTAAAATAAAAGTTAAAAATAAAAAAGAAATTTATTCTCTCACAGTTCTGGAGGCAAGAAGTCCAAAGTCAAGGGACTGGATGGGCCACTTTTCCTCTGAAGTCTCCAGGGGAAAATCCTTTCTTGCCTCTTTCAGCTTTTGAAAGTACCCAGGTGTTCCTCGGCTTGTGACAGTATGACTCCAATCTCTGTCCTTACTTAATGTTCTCTCTGTGTGTCTCTGACTTCACATGGCATTCCCCTTATGTGTCTGTGTCCAAACTTCCCCCCTTTAAAAGTGTACTAGCCATATTGGATTAGGACCCACTATAATGCCTTTGTCTTAATGTGATTACATCTGCAAAGACCTTGTTTTTCAAATAAGGCCACATTCACAGGTACCGAGGGGTTAGGACCTCACTGTGTTTTTTTGAGGGGACAAAATTCAAGTAATATGCAGCATACTTGAGAATAAACATTGCATCATTTTTCATCTTTCATCTTCATTTTTACCTTACTACCACTCTGACTAGCAAAGCTCCTGCAGGATGGGAATGATATCATCTTCATTTTGTACCTGCTGTGCACATGAAATTTACTCATTGTTCAACTTTTTTTCTGAACTGAATCCAATTGTTTATTTAAACATATTTGGGAAGATCACAAAAGTATTCAGAGGATGCCATGAAATATTTATTTTTAAGCATCAATAATATGTGAGATGTTATAAAGCCTCAAATATGGAAGTAGTTATTAACACATTTTTAAAATCTCAATTTGGCAGAGAGAAAAGTTTCAAATGCACCAACAGAGACTGGCAAATTCAATTTTGGGAGGTATGAGTGAGGAAGAAAATAATTATCAGTTGAGTTTTTTTTTCAGATGGGCTAATAAGTTGGCTAACTTCGAAAATTAGGTTGCAATTATTGTGTTGTCTTCATTTTGAAGTAGTGAATTTTTAAAAGAACATTGACCCCTGTCATGCCTGGAATATGCTGACTGGGGATCAAAGAAATGGGGTTATAAAAATGAAAATGTTCAGCAAAGAGAAGCCAGAATTCATGTTTACAGTCAAAAGACAGGCATATTCATTAATTTTTTCAGTCAAATTATCCTTTTTGAAAGAACGATGGTGGCACCATCTCTGTGAGCAAAGGTCAGGAAAATTTTGTGTAGAAGTCACAAAACAAATCACAGTAAGTACTTTATTTGCCATATTCCAAACTGTCATCACAGGAAGTCAATGGGCAACACAAACTGCTGCTACTGCCCAAGGAAGCAGTTCTTACAAACATGGTGTGGAAGGGGCAAGGCTGTGAGCTCAGGTCCTACCCAGGGTCTTCACTCAGAGAATTAAATTTGCAGGTCACCAATTGGCTCTCCTTAACCACCTTGTAAATGTGAGCTTTTGGTCAAAAAGAAGACTGAATAGGAAAGAGTGAATGATATGTGAAGAAATTAGAAATACACTACAAATTATAAAGAAACATGATATGGTTCAGTGGAGAAAGCAGAGATGACTAATGTTTGGGTCTGGGATCTGCCGCTTATGACTGATAATTATGAGCGAGTTCCTTTTTCTCCCTGAGCTCAAATTTTCTCATTTATAGAGTGGGTATGGCACTAACCTGTTGTGATAAGAATTAAGTGAAAATATGCATTTAAAATGCTTAACACATGGAAGGAATGCAATAAATTCTAATTATTACTTCTGTTATTTTATTGGACACAAAAAACTCAAAGCATTTATCTATTACTGATCACGGAGAAATACTGGCATTTAAAAAATAATGTAGGTCTTTATTTCAGTGGCAAACAAGGCATAATTACAATGTACTGGTTTTACTTATAAAGTGGTGTAACTTTTTAACTTTAATTGATAAATACATTGAATAGAATAGAATATTTTATTTTAATAAAAAATAAAATATTAATATTGAACCCATAGAAGAAAATACTAGCAGTACCTAGAGCTCTAGTTTCAGGTTATGCAAAATCACAAATGAGAAGACCACTATGTATCACTTAGATTCTTCACCTAAGGCCTTTCCACACAGTAGCTCACTCAAGGAAGCATGGGTTTAATTAATTTAATATGCAACCACTAGGGAATTCTAACAAATGTATTTTAAGAGTTGGTTGGTGCATTCTGGGTCCTCTGACTCTGTTCAGCCAGGAAGTTTGCTACTAGTCCATGGGTTTTCAAATTAATTCTATATATGGATAGGTAGCAAATATTTGTGTGGGTCATATGGTCTGTTGCAACTATTTAACTTTGCTATTGTAGCAAACTGCTACTTTATATAAACACATAGATTTGGCCATGTTCCAATAAAACATTATTTGGGGGCATTGAAATTTTGAATTTAATATAATTTTCAAATATCACAGGATACTATTATTCTTTTGGTTTGTTTTTAATCCTTTAAACATACTCAGCTAATTCTTAGCTGGTGAATTATAATGAAATAGGCAACTTGTGGGCCAGATTTGGTCCAGGGGCCATAGATTGCTAAACTCTGTGTTAGATGAGCAAATATGTTAAGTAACCATTTATAGAAAAGACTTTATATAAATGAAAACAGCACAATTTTCTTCCTCAGATGTCAACCTTTTCCTGTATCTCTATAATTTTGAAACTTTAGGAATTGCTTCCTGTATCTAGTTAGACAGCAATTAATCTTGCTGAAGTTAGTCTTTCATATATAAAGTGGTGTGAAATTTTGGGACACAAACACATGTGTGCCAAAACTTCAGTTTCAGGAGAAATATATTCTCTATGACTGAACTTTCTTCATATTTTAATATCCTTTCCATAAAACTCTAACACTTCCTTCATCTTGAGTAGTTCAAGACCTTCCCTCTTCCCCTTGTCCTAGGTTATATCTAAATTCTGGAGGATCACAGAGCATAAAAACAGAGTGTTGTGGGCCTTGTGTGGCACTGCTCCATGCTTGCATCTGCTGAAATGTCTCCTCTAGTCCACAGTCACTGTTGACTCACCATGATGATGTGCTGGACTTCAGTTCCCTGTTTCATCTTTGGTGATGGCTGTGTTTGTTTCTACAGACCTGTCATCTGTACTATGAGGCCTCTCCAAGCTCACCAACTCTTTCTTATCTAAATTCCACTCTGTTTGGAGGTTTGTGAATGTTTACTTGCTCTACTATACCCCACTGGGATTATGAGAAACTCTCTAGCACTGTCATGCATGCAGCCATCTTTATGCTGAAGCTTGCACACTGTAGTGGGTGGAGTCTTGCAGGGCTGCCATCTCCAGGGATCACGAGGGGTCCTCGACTTTTGGACCCCAAACCTGGAAAGGGATCTGCTGCCCACTCTAACCTCTTCTCAGAGCCCACAGCACCCCCTCACACATGACCGTTTTCCTCACTGATGCTTCACTTCCAGTTCAGAGGAATTTTTTTTTCATCACTGGAGTAGTAAAAACTTGCTCTTATATTTTTTAAATTCTTCCAAATATGTTCTTTTGACATTAATTTTATGCTTTGATTTCCTCAGCATCTAGCCTTCTGAGATTCAAAAACTTTAACATAATTGCCCCATTTTGTGTTTCCAATATCAATTTTGAAAGGCAGAAGCTGAAAACAGGCTCTATTTTTTTACTCCTCTCTGCACAATGTTTTAAAAATTCTATCCTGGAGCTAGACTGGGCCTTCTCTTATCTGTGAATGGGTTAAAAAGTAATGGGACCACAAATAATCCCTCAGCTTAGTATATTACCTTAACATAGCACAGCTGTATCTGCCCCTGTACCTTGTTGAATGGTTGTACACTCAGCTTATGGTGAGTTGAGGCACACTCCAAAATCCACAGGAAAATGCCTTGGAAACATTTTACTTAAGAGTACAGAATTTAAGTCCGGGCACAGTGGCTCACGCCTGTAATCCCAGCACTTTGGGAGGCTGAGGCAGGCAGATCACCTGAGGTCAGGGGTTCAAAACCAGCCTGGCCAACATGGTGAAACCCCATCTTTACTGAAAATACAAAAATTATCCAGGTGCGGTGGTGGGTGCCTGTAATCCCAGCTACTCGGGAGGCTGAGGCAGGAGAATCGCTTGAACCCAGGAGGCAGAGGTTGCAGTGAGCCAAGATTGCGTCCTTGTACTCCAGCCTGGGCGATAGAACAAGCAAGACTCCTTATCAAAAAAAAAAAAAGAGTACAGAATTTAATGTTAAATCCCAAAACAAAAGAATATAGGTAGAATGTGTTATATTCCCTGTCATATCTCCCAAATAGGCAGATAGCCAAAAATTCTCATGGCTTTTCTTCAATTTTTTGTCTTTGGAAGTTAACATATCCTGTAACTGTGCTTGGTTTATATATTGCCAACATTGATTTCTAGTTTCCCTTCTACATTCATTTAGTGGGTCCTTGGTTCTGTGAGCAAAAGCAAACGAATGAGGTTCCACAGGTATGAGGCCCCACCTGATAAAATGCAGCTAAAATTAAGAACAGAAAAACCGAAAACACTGTCCACTAAGCAAGACATATGATGTTTTGTTCAATTATTTGAAGGCCTGGAAATTTATTTCATGTTTAAGCTATGAAGGAAAAGTGACATATAGAAGAAAGAGAATTTTAATACCAAACCTTCCTGTAATTCAGCTGTTCACAGCAATATCAAAAGCACTATATTTTTTCTCAAGTATGATTTGACTGAAATGATAAAATTTCGTCATTCAGAGATCTCACATTTCTCTTTATGAGTTTCAGAATGTGAAGACAAAAAATTGTTAACCTGCTATCTGTTTTCAAGTCAAAACTGATTATCCCAAGTCATTGCCAGTCTCAATAAGAATGCTTAACATGTTTTAAAAATTCTTTTTATTCTTTTGAAACGTGCAGGGTAATTTTATTTTTAATCCTTCTGTATTCACTCTTGCCAATCATTCTGAATGTGAGTGATAAGTTTGTTTTGTATACATTTTATTTATAGCATAAAAAGTAAATCAAAGACATTAGTTTCATAAACCTTTCCTATTATCTTTTTTTGAGACAGAATCTTGCTCTGTTGCCCAGGCTGGAGTGCAGTGGCTTGATCTTGGCTCATTGAAACCTCTGTATCCCAGGTTCAAATGATTCTCCTGCCTCAGCCTCCTGAGTATCTGGGATTACAGGCATGTGCCACCACGCCCGGCTAATTTTTTGTAGTTTTAGTAGAGACAGGGTTTCACTGTGTTAGCCAGGATGGTCTCGATCTCCTGACCTTGTGATCCACCTGCCTCGGCCTCCCAAAGTGCTGCAATTATCTTAAATTAACAATTCCAGAAAGTCCTGCAATTCATGAGACTTGGTGAAAGTGGATTAGAGCTTTTCAAAGGTATTTTTTACAAAGTCAATGTTAATTTTATGAAACTGCTTCTAATTTGAATAATTATTTATCTTTTACCCAACCTGTAAGTCCTCTGTCCAATTAACAAGACTTTGGCCACCCATGACAAAGTTTACTCATTTGTTATCCTACTTGCAAAAGTGATGTTGATGGAATTTGTGATAAGCTCTGGTTTCTTCAAGTAATACTCAGTCTCTAACCTCTTCCAGAATAAAAGCCTAGAAAATATTCTGTGATCCCTTACAACTGATTGATTGGGGATGACATGTCAAGCTTTGGGCTGGAGATTCAGTGATTGCCTCTTGCCTAGGAGGTTTAAATTTTCATGTCTCCCTCTGAGCTGCAGCTAACATGTAACAAATTTGCCTGGTTAGATAACATTATTGCCTACAACTCTGGGCATCATACATGACTTGCCCATCCTGTAGTAAGGATAGGCATAGCCAGGCCTGGTGTGTGAAGCTGTTGATAGATGAATAATCCTCCATACTGCAGAAGCCAGAGCAAAAAAGCTAATCATGTATGGCAGTGAGCATGAAGTAACCTGCCTTCCCTCCTAAATAAACAGATGGAAAGAGTTTGCAGTTCATTTCTTTCCAAGGTAACAAATTATTTTATTTCTATGTTTTACAGTAACAGAACCAAAAGTTCTTCTCTTTGGGGAAATTTTATTTTTCTTTAATTATTCCATGCAAACAAGAGACCTGAGTCTTCTGGGGACAGATGCAGAGAAGTCAAAATTAATTAGTTTTTCTTATGATACACTGCATTTGGGTAAAATATCACTGTGGGGGCACAATGACAGATTACTCGATCAAGTGCTGAGTTACTAGAAAGGCAGAATTTTATCAGAAAAATCTACATAGAAATAATATTTCACCTTCCTTGAAAGTCAACATCGTTTGGTACTCTCCTTGGAGTTCTCGGTTCATGTACTTTCTTTCATCTACTCTTTGTCTTTCCTTTAAGATGTCAGACAGCATGGGAAAGTGATAGAGTGGCCTACAAGTCCCCAGTGAACTCAAGAACCATGTTGCTATTTAACTATAACATAAAAGTCACAAATCAAACTCAGTTTCTTTTTCTCTTATGATTGTCAAAGTTATACATTCTGAAAAGCTTCAAGGTGAAACAAAGAAATCTACTTCAATGATTCTCTGTCATTTCATAGGTAGGTGTTCAAATCAGGCTGTGAGCATTACACAAATACATCTGTGGCTCAAAAATCAGCCTTCAAATTAGGTATTTATTCTTTTCATGCCTGATTAAGACCTGATTATATGAAAGCATGCCAAGTACATGATTTACATTATTAAAATATAAGACTTCAGCATTGAGTATAATTCCCAAGTGATCTTATTATTAATTTATTAAGCATGTATCTTGTAATGAACTCAAGATTTCTGTCTCACAAAAGAATAGCATTATCATGTACTAATGAAATAGGCAAAGTATGAACCTCATATATTGAAGGCAAGTTACACATAGATGTCTTCAAGTCAAGGTCTAAGCAAGGTTGTTTGTAATTCAGGGGAAATTCTGGAAATAATCACCACAAAAATGTCTCTGTTAGTTCAAAATATTCATTAACAAAACCCAGGCAAATACCTAAAAACAGAGACTTCCTTGAATAAGTTTACATTTCAATTTTACTCATCCATTTATTTCTTATAAAATGATAAATAATAAACAAAGACCAAGAAAAGAAGAGCCCTTTCCAAAGCTTTCCTAATCAAAGACAATTTTTTTTTCTTGGATCTATTTTGTATACTCATTTCACATAGTAAACATATGACCATCTGTGATGGTTAATATGAGGTGTCAACTTGATTGGGTTGAGGGATGCATAGGTGGCTGGTAAAGAACTGGGTGTGTCTGTGAGGCTGTTGCCAGAGGAGACTGACATTTGAGTCTGTGGACTGGGAGACAAAGACCCACCCTCAGAGCACCTTCCAAAGGCTGCCAGCACAGCTACAACAAAACAGAAGGAAGAAGAGGAATAAGTGTGGCTCTTTCTGACTCTCTTTCTTCTTCCCATACTGGATGCTTGCTTCCACTCTTCCTGCCCTTAGACATCAGACTCCAGGTTCTTCTGTCTTTGGAGTCTGGGACTTGCACCAATGGCTTCCAGGAGCCTCTTGGGCCTTTGGCCACAGACTGAAGGCTGCACTGTTGGCTTCACAGGGAACTGTCAACTTCCTGGTGTCGAAGCTTTCAGACTTGGACTAAGCCACTACCAACTTCTCTCTTCCTCAGCTTGCAGACAGCCTACTGTGGGACTTTGCCTTCTAATCATGTGAACCAATTCCTCCTAATAAACTCCCTTTGATGTAGACATATTTCCTATTGGTTCTGACCCCCCGTGAAGAACCCGGACTAATACTATTGGTTCTGACCCCCTGTGAAGAACCCTGACTAATACACCATCCAGACTCTTCACTGCAGGAAAATTACCTTCTTCAACAAGGGAATTTTAAACCTGAGGACTTTCCCCCAAATATGATAGACGAAGTGTGAGATTGTTGACAACCTGATGTACTGATATGAATTCCTATGGTACCCTGGAGCAAAATTGACTTCTGCTTCTAATTTTGGAATAAAATAGTAGATTCTGTATTTTTTAAGATGAGAATTAATTCACTATTATGAAATACTTGACATCACCATCTCAGGCCCATTTTTGAACTCTTGGAAATCATTCAAATAAGACTTTCTTTGAGAGACTAATGGTGCAATGGTACATAATAGTGGAAATGATAGAATTGAGCAATTTAAAAAATTTAGGGCTAATTTTCTTTGGTTGTTGGTTCCACAAATGAACAAATCTAACAGTTTCAAAACGTGTGCCTGTTTTGAATCAAATCTAAGGAAAGGTGGAGGCAAAGCAAGATGGAAGAATAGAAGCCTACACCATTCATCCTTGCCACTGGGACACCAAATTTTAACAACCATCTGTACACAGAAAAGCACTGTCACAAGAAACAAAAATCAGGTGAGCAATCACAGTACCTGGTTTTAATTTCACATTGTGGAAAGAAGCATTCAGGAAAACAGGACAGACAGTCTTGAAGCACCAACATATCCCTTTCTAATCTCTTGGCAGTAGGCCTGCAGTGTGGAGAGAGAATCTGTGCACTTTGGGGAGAGAAAGTACAGGCACTGGGGGATTTTACACTGAACTCAGCGCTGCCATGTTATAGTGGAGAATAAAGCTGTGCTGTGCTCAGTCAGCATGCGCTCATCCGCACATGGAGGGAATATTTGGACCAACCCTAGCAAGAGGTAAATTGCTCTCCCAGTGGTCGAAACTTGAGTTTCTCAGGAGGCCTTGTCATCGTGGGCTGAAGTGCTCTGGGGTCCTAGATAAACTTGAAAGGCAGTCTAGGATAAAAGGACTCTAATTCCTAGGCAACTCCCAGTGCTAGACTGGGCTTAGAGCTGGTGAATTAGAGTAGCACATGACCTAGGGAGACACCAGCTGGCATGGCTAAGGGGGGGCTTGTGTCATTCCTCCCCCAACCCCAGGCAGTGCAGCTTGTACGAACAAAAGTGAACTCATTTTTCTGCTTAAGGAGGGAAGAGTGAAGAATAGAGAAACTCTGTCTTGCCTGTTGGATGCCAGCTCAGCCACAGTAGAATAGGACACTGGGCATAGTCATGAGGACCCCATTCCAGTCCCTAGCTCCTGAATGGCATTTCTAGACACACCCTGGGCCAAAAGGTAATCCACTGCCTTGAAGAGAAAGACCTGGTCCTGGCAGGATTGATGAAGTGCTTACTGAAGAGCTCATGGGCCCTGGATAACTACCAGCAATAGCCAGGGAGCATGCCTTGAGCCTCAAGTTCAGAGATATACTGGCTTCAAGGGAGCCCCAGCACATTCCCAGCTCTGGTGGCTATGGCAAAAGACTTCTTCTGTTTGAGAAAAGCAGAAGGAAAAGTAAAGGGGACTTTGTTTTGCATCCTAGCTACCAACTTGGCCATAGTGGGGTAGAGGAACAACCAGGCTCCTGGGGGCACTGCGTACAGACTAGGATCTTGGATACATTACTGGATCTTCTCTGGGTCAGAGGGCATCCCACTACCTTGAAGGGTGAGTCCAAGGTCTATCAGCATT
Organism: Homo sapiens; assembly: GCF_000001405.40. Lineage (NCBI taxonomy): Eukaryota > Metazoa > Chordata > Mammalia > Primates > Hominidae > Homo > Homo sapiens. The sequence continues at coordinate 33,990 of NT_187544.1, forward strand.
CACCACAAGCTGACAGAGGAGCTCTTGGCCTTTAAGCAAACATTGGTGATGGCCTGGCAGAATGCCCCACCTCCATGCACTGGGGATAGTTGTGACCACAGGGAGATGCTCTTCTGCCTGTGGAATGAAGACAGAAGAGCAGGAAGGACTTTATATTGTGGTTTGCATGCCATCTTGGCCTCAGTAGAATAGAACATCAGGTAAATTGGTAAGGGTTTTGACTTGAATGTCCAGCTCCCAGACAGCATTTCTGGGCATGCCTAAGGCCTGGAGGAACCTGCCACCCTGAAGGGAAGGGCCTTGGACAAGGCCCAGTGCTGTGCTGGCTTCTGGTCTGATCCAGTGAAGTTCCAGTGGTGGGGACCACAGGGGTGATTGCATCACTACATTCCCAGTGCCAGGTGGTTCAGCACACAGAGACTCTGTATGTTTGGGAGAAAGTAAAGGAAAATAACAAGAATCTGTCTGGTAATTTAGAGAATTATCTCGGATCTTATCCAAGACCACCAAATGGTATCTCTATGAGTCTGCAAAAACCACAGCGTTCTTGGGCTTGGGGCCCAAGTCCCTTCAATACCTGGAAAGCCTTCCCAAGAAGGACAGGCAGAAACAAGCCCAGACTGTGAAGGCTGCAGTAAATACCCAACTCTTCAATGCCCAGACACCAAAGAACATGTACAACCATTAACACCATCCAGGAAAACATGACCTCACTCAATGAACTAAATAAGGCACTGAGAGGCCAATCTTGGAGAAACAGAATTTGTTTAGACCATTTGGAGACAGAATTCAAAATAGCATTTTGAGGAAACTGAAAGAAATTCAAGATAACACAGAGTAAACAATTCAGAATTCTATCAGATAAATTTAACAAAGTGACTGAAATAATTCAGAAGTGTCAAGCAGAGATTCTAAAGTTGAAAAATGCAGTTGCCATGCTGAATAATACATCAGAGTCTTTTAGTAGCAGAATTGATCAAGCAGAAGAATTAGTGACCTTAAACACAGGATATTTGGGAATACACAGTCAGAGGAGACAAAAAAAAAAGAGAGAGAGAAAGACAAAAAAAACAATGAAGCATACCTGCAGAATCTAGAAAATAGCCTCGAAAGGGCAATTCTAAGAGTTTTTGGCCCTAAAGAGAAGAAAGAGAAAGATATGAGGGTAGAAAGATTATTCAAAGGGATAATGTCAGAGAACTTCCCAAACCTAGAGAAAGATATCAACATTCAAATATAAGAAGGTTTCAGAACACCACGTAGATTTAAGCCAAAGAAGACTACCTCAAGGCATTTAATAATCAAACTCCCAAAAGTCAAGGATAAAGAAGGATTTTTCAAGCAGGAAGAAAAAACAAACAACATACAACAGAGCTCTAATACATATGGCAACAGAGTTTTCAGTGGAAATCTTACAGGCCGCGAGAGGGTGGCATGATGTATTTAAATTGCCGAAAGAAAAAACTTTTCCCTAGAATAGTATATCTGGTGAAAATATCCTTTAAGCATGAAAGAAATAAAGATCTCAGACAAACAAAACAGGGATTTCATCAACACCAGACATGTTCTACAAAAAAATGCTAAATGGAGTTCTTCAATCTGAAAAAAAAGGTTGAACAATAAGAAATCATGTGAAGGTACAAAACTTACTGGAAATAGTAAGCACACAGGAAAACAAGAATAGTATAACACTGTAATTTCAGTATGTAAACATCTTGATGTAAGTAGAAAGACTAAATGATGAACCAATCAAAAATAATAACTACAACAACTTTTCAAGACATAGACAGTACAATAAGACACAAGGAGAAACAACAGTTAAAAAGTAGGGGAGATGAAGTCAAAATGTAGAGTTTTTATTACACAAAAAATAAAAAGCAAGAAATTAAAGCATACCACCAGAGAAAATCGCCTTTACTAAAACGAAGATAGGAAGTAGGAAGGAAGAAAAGAAGAGAGAGAAGACCACAAAACAACCAGAAAACAAATGATAAAATAACAGGAGTAAGTCCCTGTCTTTCAATAATAACGTTGAATGTAAATGGTCCAAAATCTGCAATCAAAAGACATAGAGTGGCTGAATAGATGCATAAACATGATTCAATTATTTATTGCTTACAAGAAACACACTTCACCTCTAAAGAGGCACATAGACTACAAATAAAGGCATGGAAAAAGACATTCCAGGCCAATACACACAAAGAAAAGCAGGAACAGATATACTTATATCAGACAAAATAGATTTTAAGACCAGAACAATAAGAGACAACATAGGTCATTATATAATTATAAAGGGGTCAATTAAGCAAAGGGACATGACAATTTTAAATGTATATGCACCCGGCAATTGAGCACCCAGACATATAAAGCAAATATTTTTAGAGCTAAAGAGAGAAATAGATCCCAATGCAATAATAGTTGCAGATTCAATACCCGACTTTCAGTATCAGACAGATCTCCCAGACGGAAAATGAACAAAGAAACATCAGACTTAATCTGCACTATAAAACAAATGAACCTAATAGAAACTTACAGTACACTTCATCTAACAGCTTCACAATACACATTTTCTCCTTAGTACATGGATCATTGTCAAGGATAGATCACATGTTAGGTCACAAAACAAGTCTTTTTTTTTTTTTTTTTTTTTTTTTTTTTTTATTCTTTTGTGTTTCCCCTGCATCATTATACCAACCAGACCTAGCCTGTTGTAAATTGCTTTCTATTGTGTCCCATGTGTTGGAAACAATAGTCTTAACAAGATTACAAGCCCATTGCAGCACTGCATCTAGCCGAATTGCCTTCCCTGTATGTAACCCGTGATAACTTTCCTGTGTATTTTTTTTTTATTTTATTATTATTATACTTTAAGTTTTAGGGTACATGTGCACAATGTGCAGGTTAGTTACATATGTATACATGTGCCATGCTGGTGTGCGACACCCATTAACTCGTCATTTAGCATTAGATATATCTCCTAATGCTATCCCTCCCCCCTCCCCCCACCCCACAACAGTCCCCAGAGTGTGATGTTCCCCTTCCTGTGTCCATGTGTTCTCACTGACAAAACAAGTCTTAAAACATTAAAAAATAATGTAAATAACATCAAATATCTTCTCTGACCACAAGGGAATAAAACTAGAAATCAGTAATGAGGAACTTTGGAAACTATACAAACACACAACAATTAAGCAATTTGCTCATGAATGAGCAAACAGTAGGTGAATGAAGAAATTAAGAAGGAAATTGAAACATTCTTGAAACAAATGATAATGGAAATACAACATACCAAAACCTCTGGGATACAGCAAAAGCAGTATTAAGAGGAAAGTTTATAGTGATTGAGTGGCTTCATCCGGATTGGTTGTTGAAGAAACATTAACCACAGTAGATACTGCAGGGCCAAATGACATCTCTAAAAATGGGAATTAAGAGCCAGTCTGAAAGTGGGAACATCAGCCCTTTTTTCTTACTAATAAAATTTCAAAATATCAGGTGGCAATAGGGTCTATGTCCCCCAAGGTAAGAAAGAGTAGGCATCTTCTTTTAATAATCACAGAAAAAACAGCCTTTAAATGCTGACATAGAAGGACCCCTGAAGTAAAGAAAGGAAAAAAAATGGCTTCACATTAAGATCTTACAGTGAAGCCCCAAGTGAACAATCACCACCTCCAAATACTCCAAATACAGTACTTCCAGTAGGTTCTTAATGCTTTACTTTTAAATACGAATGAGCAAACAAAGATAACCATATATTCTAGGAGAGCCTCCACTGAGACAAAGAGATCAAAACAAACAAATAGAAGAGTAGATCTGGGATAAATAAGGAAAACTTGAATTACTATCCCCATAATGTATTTTATCCATAAATCAAGATCTGAAGCCATGAAAATAAAAAATAACCAGTAAAAACACTTTGAAAATTAAAATTGAGTGCCAGAAATTTTGGAAAATAATGGCAGATATTCCCCCAGAAAGAGAAATGGAAAAGAAAAAGAGGCAGAAAACAGATGAGAGAATATCAGAATATTAAAAGATCAGACCAGGTATAGATAGACAGATAGATAGAGAGAGAGAGTACATATATATATATATTTTTTTTTTCTATATTATATTTTGACATCTTAAAAAAAACCCTCCCCCCCCTCCAAAGAAAACCCCAACCTTTCTGCCTGGGAGATACTGCCTTTCCTGGGGCTAGCCAATTAGAGACAGCAAAGGGCTCAACCAGGAACATGTCTTTGTTATGCAGACTAACCAATCCAGAGTCATACCTCCTCTATTTGGCCTGAGGCCCTCAGAAGTCAATATTCCTCTGCTTTAATAATCCCAGGAACAGATACCAGGCAACTAGGGACCACCTCTATAGTTTAGAGTCCACAGAAATTATTCACGCTATAGGTATGGAACTGAACTGGGATTCATCCGCCCAGTGCAGTAAGACCAGATAGTCACACTGAGGTTTGCAGCCAGATACAGGAAAGTGCTTCTTTGTAGGGTGCCTAACAAGGAGGATCTGGCAGCTAATGCTTAAATCCTGGCCTCTCTGATGGCTTAAGGTAAGGGTTTTTAAAGGCAAGGGTAAGTTTCAGAAAGCAGAAGTTACAAGCACAGTTGTAAATCAAAACGTGGAAGTTACACATTGGTTTTGGCCTAAAAGGGTGGGATATCTTGAAGCTGGGGCTTACAGGTCGTAGGTAGATTCAAATATTTTCTGATTTTCAATTTGTTTAGGAAGAAAAGCTTTGTTTAAAAAATTAGGGTCAGCAGAAACGAATGTTAGCCTGGCTCATGGGTGTGACTTTCTCCAGGCACCTCAGGAGGAAATTTAAAACAAAGAATGTTGGTCAGAGTTCAGTCCCCCATTCCCCCTTATCTGAGGCCCATGTGCCATTAGATCTGTTTAACGGAGGTTGGGGTTTCTGAAAACAACTCAGAGACATACTTGAAGATGCTATCTTTACTCCATATAGGGAAACCAAGCATCTGCTGATTGTGTTAGCAGTGGTGAATCCTTACAGGTCTGCAGTAACCTGATTTCTTGCCTCCTCAGAAGAAAGAATTCAGCCAAGGGGCATAAGGCAGAATGAGAGACCAAGGCAAGTTTTAGAGCAGGAGTAAACATTTATCAAAAAGTTTTAGAGCAGAAACGAAAGGAAGGAAAGTATACTTGTAAGTGGGTCAAGCAGGTGACTTGAGAGCTTCAAGCATGCTGTTTGACCTTTGACTTGGGGCTTTATGCGTTGGCGTGTTTCTGGGGTCTTGCATTACTTCTTCCCTGATTCTTCCCTTGAGGTGGGCTGTCGCATGAATAGTGGCCTACCAACACTTGGGAGGGGCTGCATGCACAGTGTGTTTACTGGAGTTTTACACATGCTCACTTGAGTTGTTTTTCCTTTACCAGTCAAGTATTCCTGGAGGAAGTTCATATACCAGATAAACTCTGCCATTTTGCATCTTAGTGTGCATGCTTGAGCCCACTCACCCAACTCCTGAGATCTTTTCAGGAAGCTGCTGCTCAGCAGTTTCAGGTGTTTTTTTGTTTGTTTTGTTTTTTTTTAATCTGTTGGGAGACTGCCTTTCCCTGGTGCTGGCTGCAACCAATTACTATTTTAGAGAGACAATTTAACAATTGCCTGACCATTACCTGATGGTTGCCTGACATTCCTATTCCTATTGGTGGGGGAAAAAGGGGAGAGGTAGGGCCTCTCCCCTGTTCTGCTTATGTCTGACTATCTACTCTAACAATTCTAGCTTCCTTGGCTACTGTTTCAGGCTACTATTACGTTCTAGTTTATCAAGTTGCTTACTTAGTTCTCAGGGCTAGCTAGGTGCTTGGAATTTCACTTGAAAGAACTCACGATTTTCTTTTATTTCCATGCTTTGTGCAGGGAGGGGAGCTGCATTCCCCTAAGTAGGGTTCCCTGCATTGTCTCACTATCCAATCCTAAATTGTTCACCCTGCCTTGCATTTCCCCATGAAACCATAATAAAGACTCGGGCCTAGACCTCCCCCTTGATTCTGTCTTCTTCCATCTGGCTGCACTGGTGTATTTCTCATGTTGCGCCTCTTGTGTTTAAGACCTCTTGGTGTAATAAACTTTGTTTTCCTGAACCTCTTTCCTGTCTTCTCTTGACTGACCATCTCATAAAAGAATACAAAACACCAAGAAATCTAATGGTGTGATAAAAATTTTAGTAAGGACGATCAAAGAAAACAGATGAGAAGAATTATTCAAACAGGAAATAGAAAAATACTTCCAGAAATGAAGGACTTGACTTTTCAAATTAAAGGGTCGGTGGAAAGCTTCATTATGTAAATAAAATAATAATAATAAATGACACCAAAGCACATAATTGTGAAATTTTAGAATACAGACTAAAGTATCTACTGAATATTTCCAAAGTAAACAGTCAGGTAGGCATACAAAGAATAGGGAATCATAATGTCATTAACAGTATCATTGAGAAGATAGAAGAGAGTGAGTTATGATGTCATAATTTGGAGAGAAAAGCATTTTCATCTTGTAATTCTTTACCCAGCGAAACTCCCAATCAAGTATAAGAATAGAACAATTGCATGCAAGGATTAAACCTCCCATTGAATTTTAGCATAGGAAATTATTGAAGGATTGACTCCAGCAAAATGATAAAGTTAACAAAGATGAAAGAAGATAGGTTATCAGGAAAACAGGAGATTCCAAACCACAAAGTGGTAAACCAAAACTAAGATGAAGACTGTAGGTAATTCTAGAATGACAGCTGAGCAACAGGCTCAGGAAATATTCTGTTCAAATTGGAGCAAGAAGATAAGACTTTGGGGAGCAGATCTTAGGGAAATGAAAAAGAGACAAAGCAATGATAGATCATTGATTTATGTGAGCATTCAGATGATAATATGGATAGGTGCTTGACAGATGCATTGCAGAAGGTAACAAATTGGTATTAGTTAGTATATTTTTATAAGTAAGAAAATTGAAAAAACAATAAGTAATTTACTCCAGCAAAAATTCCAGTATTGAACAAAAAGGGAAACACAGTCATAGTGCACTGTTGGTCTCTGTAGTGAATGGTTTTAAGATAGTCACAGTAATGTTAGTAATGATTAGTTAGTTAATGATATGCTTAATATTACTCAATGGGAGGAAGATATTAGGGAATGTAGTGGGTGAGGTGTAAGAAAACTAAACCCTCATTTGATTTCTCGGGGAGGGTATTTTATTATTTATCCACTGAACAAACAATATTTATCCATTGAACAAACATACATTGAACAGTTACTATACAGTCTCTCTTCTAGGAATAAAAGATACAGAAAGGAACAAAACAGGCAAATAACCTGCCCTCAGGAAACTTACATTCTAGTTTAAAAAAAACAAACATGTAGAGTGTAAAAATATAGTAAAATATGTAGAATGTTAGCAATAAGTGCTATGGAGAAAAACCAACGGAGTAGGATTGGGAATTTGTGGGGAGAAAGCTGGTAATTTTAAGTATGGTGGTCAGCGAAAGCCTCACTAAGAAGAAGACATTTCAGTAAACATCTGAGGATCTGAGGGAGCTAGTGATGAGGATATCTGAGAGAGGAGTGATCCAGGCTTAGAGAATGTCAGATAGGTAGGCTCTGAGATAGGAAGCATACCAGGCATCATTAATGGAAGAGTAAAAGGGGCTGATTTGACTTGTGCACTGAATGTAAAGACTTTGAATTTTACTCTGAACAGAGAAAAATGATCTGACTTACAAATCCACTCTGGCTGCTATGTTGAGAATAGACTGAAGAGGAAGAGGGTGGAAGTTGAAAAATTAGTTGGAAAGCTATCTAATCCATGTGACAGATGACAGTGACTTGGATCTAAGGAGTAGTAGTAGTGAGCTTGAAAGGAACTAGGCAGATTATAGATATATTTTTGGGGATGGATCTACATGGATTTGCTAATACATTAGATGTAGTATGTGAAAGAAAGAGGAATCAAGGACTCAGATTTTTGTCATGAAGGATGTGGTGGCTGTCAACTGAGTGTTTTTTTTAAGCAGATTGTTTCTCTTGTTGTTTTGTTGGCGGTAGTAGGGAACATCTAAACTCAGTTTTTTACATATTACATTTCAGATGTCTTTAGATATATCCAAGCCTGGATATATAAATTTAAGTGCAAAGGTCTAAGCTTGAGATGTGAATCTGGAAAAGAATATAGTATGTAAAGCCATGAGACTGGTTATAATGACTAGGGTGTAGATAAAGAGATGTAAGGACTGAGAAGAATCTCAAAGATGCCTTAATATTAAGATATCAAAAAGCAAAAGAGGAACAAGTAGACTAAAAAGTGAGGATCATGATTTGCAATGGTCCTATGACCTCCTGTACCACCCAGAAGCCAAATAAATTATGGATCAACATCTTGGAGGAATTGCTGAGTAGCACAGTTGGAGTCAACACCTTATGAAGGAGAGGAGCTGTCCTGGATGCAACCAAAAAATGAAAATAGGAGTCGTTTTGCTCACGTTATCCTCAGTGACTCAACTGGGAGGAATTTGTATATCCATCTTTACAACTTTAAGCTTCATGGGTCTAGAAGTTTTTGTTCCCTTCCCTTACCAGGAGGCAAAATAAAAGTCCCAGTAAAAATCAGAGCTATAAGCTGGGTGCAGTGGCTCACGCCTGTAATCCCAGCACTTTAGGAGGCAGAGACGGGTGGATTACAAGGTCAGGAGATTGAGACCATCCTGGCTAGCACGGTGAAACCCCGTCTCTACTAAATAAAATACAAAAATTAGCCGGGCATGGTGGCGGGCGCCTGTAGTCCCAGCTACTCAGGAGGCTGAGGCAGGAGAATGGCCTGAACCTGGGAGGCGGAGCTTGCAGTGAGCCCAGATCACGCTACTGCGCTCCAGCCTGGGTGACAGAGCAAGACTCCTTCTCAAAAAAAAAAAAAAAAAAAAAATCAAAGCTATATATAGCTTTAAGTTTGGGTCATTGTTCCAGCAGATAATGAAAGGATTCATTGTGACATCAAGCAGCTTGAAAATCAGGAGAGTATGGTGTTATGATTCAGTTGAAGGCAGTGGTCCAATAAGGAGGAAGTTACCAATTATGAAATGCTTACTTGTTATATCAGAGGAATATGGACTGAAAGTTGACCTTGGACTTAGTGAAATGGAAGAAACTGGGGACCTTGATAGAAGTAGTTTCAATGGAGTGGTAGAGGGGAAACATAATTGAAGTGGGTTCATGAAATGGTGAGAGAAAGAAGAATCCAACAATGAATGCGCACAACTGTTTTAGAAGAGGGCTGAAGAGAGTAAATAAATAGGTTTCCAGAGGGAAGAAATGAGGCTCTGGTGGGAGAGAGGGAATCAAAATGGTAAAAGAATGTGAAAGAGATAGATCATGTAAAAACGGGGGAAAAAAATGATGAGAGAGAAAGAACAGATTACCTGGAGCAATGTTCTTAGGTAAGCACGAAGAAATGGGACGTCCTGTGCCAATGCGAAGTTTGGCCTTAGGAGCACAGATAGTTCATCCATAGTAACAGGAGGAAAGGCAGAGAAATATGAGCACAGGTAAAGGCAGTGACGTACATTTGGTAAGAATTTAAGCTAGTTGTGCTCTAAATTTTCAGTGAAATAGAAGGTAATGTCATCAACAAAGAATGAGAGTGGATTGGTCTTGTTTGGGTTTGAAGAAAGCCAGCACTCAGGCCAAGGACATTGGAGGCATTTTTGACTCCTCTTCTCACAGATTTTCAATACTTCATGAAATTCTGAGCCAAAATACACCTAAAATCCAACCATATTTTACCCACTTATACCACTACCTCACTGGTTCAAGCTATATTATTCTTCTCCTGGGTTATTCCAGTAGCCTCCTACTTGGTGTCCTTGCTTTCACCATTGGTCCCTCTATTGCTTATTGATAAAACCAGCCAAATAGAGCATTTAAGCATATGTCAGATCAAATCATTCCTGTGTTCAAAGCCTCCAGTGCCTTCCCTTCATACTCAGAACATGAACCAAAGCTTTGCAATGGGCTTACAGGGACCTCCATGGTCTCAGCCCCTGCTCCCTCTAAGGCATCACCCCTTACTGGCCCACGTGCTGACTGGACACTTAATGTTTTGGAACATGTATAATGTGTTTCTTCCTTAGGGCCTTCACACTGTTTGACCCACTTCCCACAGATGTCGACATAACTAGGTGCCTGAGATAACTATTAAATTTGGAAATAGTTTCCTCCCAACAAACATATATTTCATTTCCACATTCTTACTTAATGTTTTTATAGTACTTAAATCTTTCTGGTATATTATATAATTTACTTATTTTTAATTTGTCTTCCTATGGTAGAATATAAGCTCCATGAAGGCCACAGTAATTGTCTGTCTTGAATGAATGGGAGAGATAGTGAATAGATTAAGGAAATAAATACAACATGATTAATGCAGCATTGAAGGCACATTTGAAAATAGAAATCACACATTAACCTTCCAACATGGGATGTGTTGGAAGAAATAATTCAAAAAGAGGCTTGGGGTTGTTGAAGGGATGAAGGAAGGTTGAGACAACTTCAAAGACCTTGCAGCAATAACAATAAACAATCAGCTTACAACTTAATTGCCTCATAAGGCATGTGGGTCCAGTTAGCATCTGCATTTTCTCTTTGCTATATATCTGGGATATATAGGTCTGGGGCTAGTGTTAAATTGCTTCTAAAGATAGCTTATTGGTTTGAGACAGTGGTAAATTTTTAGCCTTTCTGGAACTCCTTTCTAAGTTCACCTGCCTCTGGGTAAAATTAGCTGTTCCCAAATATTTAGCCAGAGAAGAAAGTTTCACAGACTCTAACACTGGAATAATCCAAGAAGAAAATTATCGATTGATCTTAAAATAACTGTTTCCCAGCTTGTGTACTTTGTGTGCATACGTGTGTGTGTGTGTGTGTGTGTGTGTTTTGTGGGGGGCAGGTGATATATGCTCCAGCTATAGAAACACTGCAGAGCACAGGGAGTGGCTCCCCTGATAACACATGAGAAGTTTCTATGCACATGATCCTCTTCCTTGTCTTCAAACATATGGGATGGCTCTAGGATATCACTATTGTCCATACTTCATTATATTCAAGAGTTTGATTTTGACCACATATAGAATGAGGAGATGATAGTACTTTCAGTGTACAGATTTTGAATAGTTTCTTCCTTTGAGAAAAGAGATCTGTTTCTTTCTCCTTTCCAACTCACTTCTCTCTCCCCTCCCTACTTACTTTGTTCCCACCACGATCTCTCTCTGTCTCTGTCTCTCTCTCTCTCTCTCTCTCTGTCTCTCTCTCACACACACACACATGGACACACACACACACAGAGTCATAATCACAAACTTCCTATGTTGCAAATGATTAGAGACTATAGTGAGAGCAATGTGGAATTTTTAACTTTCTTCAAATTCGTGTAACAGGAATGGTATGTGTAATTTCTTCAGTCAATCAACAGAAGTGGAAGCCTGAGTATAAACTGATGAAGGTATATTTTTGCTAAATACTTGCATACCACTTGTTAAACTAAATTTGGTCTGAGGCTGCCCCCATACTTTTAGTTCCTACATAGCCAACTGCGACCTAGCTTAAGAGTTTAGTCTTGTAACAAATAGCTTGAGTTTCAGCCACTCACAGCAGCAGAGCTTCAGCCAATCACAGGCTGGCAACCCCCAATCAGACCATGTCCATATAAGGCAAATATCTCATCACGCCATGCACAAATAAGGTAAACACCACGCGGTGGTGTTTCTGAATGTCATTGGCTGTTTCTGAATGTCATTTCCTTTTTCTGTTTATAAATACTACCTGCCTGCAGTGCTTAGTGGAGCTCAATAAACTCCCAGTTTTGAGAGTTGCCCAATTTATAAATCATTCTTTGCTCAAGCTCTGCTCATTTTGTTTTGTGTAAAGCTTTTAACAATCTTTTTTACTAGTTTTTTTCTTTAACCTAAGGAATTAATTACAGATAAAGTGGTTTTCTTTCAGCTTGAAATAATATAGCAGAAAGTCAAATAACCCATTAATTTCTCCAACTTTGGGCACCAGATGGTATAATCCGTAATATTTAACTTTATTTAAAAGATGAAGAATCTTTTGAAATAATCTATTGTAGTTTAAATAATAAAGGACTAAATAAAATTTTTTAAAAATATAATTACTTTGGGGGATATTATTTTGTAGAAGATAGCATGATGTCATTTTTAATCACAGGACAAATTTTTCTCTTGCTGTTTATTTAAGTGAAGAGAAAATTAATTTATAATCCCTTTCATGGCTTTTGTTTTCAGTAATTTGATTTCCATTACATATTGAGATCAGAGATGCTAAAAGAGCTGCCAGTGACATCATTTTTCCATTATAAAACCAACCCAGTGAGGGACTTCTTTCTTTTATTTTTTTAATCAAGAGAGGATTATTAGTAACAATATTCCTGCACTAAACAGTACACTTCAAAAAGAATACATAGAAATAACATACTAAAGAAAAACACAATCTTAGAAAAAGTTTACGTTAGAAGAAATGCCTTTAGTGTGACATTGCCTTTTTATATGAATACAAGTTGAATAGTTGCCCTCAGGTAGTAGTTTTCCATATTCAAATATGTGAGAATCATCTGGATTGTTCATGAGATGTGGAGGTTCTTGGACCATTCCAGTGGAGATTAGGATTCAGTGGGTATGGGATAGAGCACAGTAATCTGCATTTTCACAGATATTCCAGATAATCCTCATCGAAGTGATCTGTGATTGAGAAACATTTTTAAATTATAGAATTTTTTTTCTTATTCTCTTCAGCCCAGCTAAGTGTAATTATCTTCACTTTCTTAGGCTGAGGTTGACTAGAAGTTTTTCAATGAATGATGAGGAACAGAAAAAAATACTTCAAACAAAAACATACAACATCAAAAACAAAAATAACTTCTTCCTTTATGAGATCAAAAGGCTCAAATTACAAATACCTGGTTCAGGGAACATCTTATTGTGACTGATGTTTATTTTACACAGGTAACGTGCCCTTACGTATAAACTGATACTGGAAGGTCAGGAGACAGTAAAAGATCAAGAAGGCATTGGGGAGGGCTAAAATCTTAACGAAAGGAGGAAGGACACAGGAAAAGAAGGGTGGAGACTATGGAAACCTAGAAAGAGGATTTACAGTTTGGCATAAATTGGATATTCAGTATTCACCTAAGCAAGAGATAAGTAAAAGGTCTGCACTAAAATATTTCTGGCCTCATAGCTGCTACAGACAAAGTGTTCAAGGAGTTTTATGGTTGATTTTGTTTGCTGTGGTTGTTATTCTGTAACTTCATATGACTTTGCATAAATCTTTGTGCTTCATATAAAGGAGTTTTGGTCTGAGGTAATTCATTTAATGTAGATGTTTTCACATATACAACATACAAGTAAAATAAGAAGACTTAAACTGCCTACACATTTCCCCCTTTCCCCTTCCCCTTCCCTTCCTTTCTCCCTCCCTCCCTCCCTCCCTCCCTCCCTCCCTCCCTTCCTTCCTTCCTTCTTTCCTTCCTCCCTCTCTTTCTTTTATTTGAGTTGTGTTTCATTAGGTATTTTGCTTATCTCTGGCTTAATAGTGAGATTGGACATTATCTCGTGCCCTGCTGTAATTGGTGAAAGAGACTAATTTCAGCATTTCTATGGGGGGAAAGAATTTGGATATACCAAGATGTCAGGAATAAAAATAGTGCGAAAGAAGTAATGAAATTACAATGAGTCACTTAGAACAGGCAGAAGAGTTGTTTTATTTTTCTCACACATGAAGAAAATAGAAAACGTAAGGAGATTGGAAATCAAAAAGGCTATTGAACGGAGTTCCCAAACTTTGTCATAAGGGTGAGTTGGTTAATAAATGCAGGGATGTGTTCAATATTCCCTTTCCCTGGTTTTATTTAGTGTCCTATCCTGTCCTGAGTTTTTGGAGATTTAAATGTCAACAAATGGCTTTATGCTTTCAGTTTGAGAAGTACTGGCGGGAGTTGATATGGTGTATGAATTTTGCCAAGATATTCTGAGATACTTTCTCTTTTTGGCAGAAATAACATTTGATACAGGAACCTGATCAAGTATAATTGAAATCAGATTCCATTTTGATAGATGAGGTAGAAGTATCCTCTCTATAAATAAAGCAAGATGCTGTCAATATGTGAATTTACAAGAGCTGAGTCTTCTAGCCTCTTACTCTAGCTGAAGAATTTTAGTTAATCTCAAAGTCAAGTATAGTATGTATTTCCTATGAATTGAAGATAAAATAACATTACTTATGAATATTACTTGCCATGTAGGAGGAATTGTGTTGCATATTTAAAGTACATTAAATTTTAATGAATTAATATATCTTTACTTTGTTTTTTAAGAATTTTCATTTAGAATGTCTTTTGTAAATTTTAAATTTTTAAGGTTATATACATGTGAAATAAAGAAATGCAGAAAAAAAATTTAGATTAAATCCTTACACAAATCCTCATGCATGTATGTATTTCCATGTTTTGATAAATATATATTTGCAGTAGTAGTATCAGAGACCTGAAAATAACCAGAAAAGTGAAACGTAACCAAGGTTCATTTGGGATTTGAAAACTAAAATATGCCATAGGAAGTGCAAATTACCTATTTATAAAAACTAAATTTTGCCTGGTTTATTTAATTTTTTTAATTTTTAATATATCTATATCTATTATAAAATTATTAAATCATGTATTTTCTCTTTATTACTTATTTTTTTAGGATTTATCAGAAAGCAATTTTTGGTTAAAATGCTAAGAGAAAAGATAAAACAAAATTTCCACATGAAAAAAGCTAAAGAGTCAAACAAAAATTTCCTATTTCACATCTGTATAATATTTATCTTAACGCTATTTATTTTGTAAAATATGATATTGTATAATAATTATTTTTGAAAGAGCCATGCCTTATGTTGAATTACATGAAAAATTACATGACTTTTGTTTAAGTCAAAACAACCAAGTTCCAACAATTTCAAAATATTCAACCTTTGTATGTATCAGAGCTTCATTTTTTCTTTTTGTATTTCCGTTGTGTAGTAGTATGGGAGTATTGGGAAATCTTTGACTTCTTTGGCTCATAATATTTTTCATGCACAGCATTTTGTAAATTTAAGTTAACTAATGGCTAAGACCATTTATCCACTTTATGGCAATAGTTGTACCTTATAGGGATTTGCATTAAACAATCTATTATTATTATGGTTTTATGATGATTTGTCCTGAATTTTCTCAAAGGAAATATCTATTGAAAGGGAGAAAAGGAAAAGACAATCTGAAATTTAGGAAAATCTCAGAAAACAAGAGAAAAAAAGATTTATTTGATAATGCAGTAAGGTATGCATTTATAAATCTTACTAGTTCCCAAAACAAAAATCTATTTCTATTGCATCTTTAAATAGCAATTTTACTGTTTTAAACAACACTTAGAGTCAATCATAGACATTATGAAATGGAAGGCAGATGTAGAGGTCACTATTTAAGCAAGTTTTACTTGACCTTTTCCAATCTAATCTGTCTCTATTCTATTTCTAATAATCTCCAGGGATGGATATTTCAGAACATTTTTTAGTAAAATGTTTCAATGCTTAAGAACCATGAGTACTGAACAATTTCTCTAGTTATTTATCTTATTTTCATATAATTATAAAAAATAACAAATGTTTATTTGATATTTTGAAAGGTACAGAAATTAACAAGGAAGGAGTTAACACCTCCACTCTCATAATCCTACTGGTGACTTCTGTATAGCTAAAATAATTCCTGTTGGTATCATATTCTTTAGTTCTATACTCACTGGAAAAAGAAAAATACCTAGGCATGCTTCTCCATATTGTTTAACAGTTCTCTTCTTTAGTTTTTAATTTCTTATCTTCTGGTATCACAATTCTTTTTTTTTTTTTTTTTTTGTAAACTTTCTAAATTCTTCGTATCTCTAAATTGTGAAACCCCAACTCAGTAAAATATCTTCTTAGTAGTATTGTTAATAATGATTCTATATGTTTTTACTTTGGACCTTTGTTATTCCCTGGTAGTACATTAAAATTTTGAGGTTACATTAATCCTTTTAAACCATCAGAATATCAATTAGTGCAATTTATTAGTTTTTGAAGCATACTGGAAATAATTTGACAACATAATAAAGGGAGAAGCAAACCTAAATATATCTCTATTTGAAATTCCATAGCTTGCTAAAGTGTAATTACTGCGTGAATACCTTTTAATAATTCTCCTTGGAGGCTGAGATTATGGTTATATGCAGGGGAGAAGGGGGATGGAAAATAGATGTTTTATTGTTCTAAAACCTAGGTAGGTGGATTCATTAACACAGAACATTTTTGGAAAAATAAAACAAAAATTATGTATGTGAGAGACTCAAGAATACTTCAGGGAAATTACCACAAAGCAATAAGTTATATATTGATTCACTTAGCAAATACTAATTGAATGACTACCATAATGCTGTCACCATAGAAAAAGTAATGATATGTTCCCTTCCCTGGGAGAATCTCACATTTTGATAGAAAAGACTGAAATATGAACCAATAATTACAGTACAATATGAGCAGATGGAAGTTCAAAGTGTAGTGGCAGAACAAACTGGGGTGTCTGGGAAGACTTCATAGATGAGGCATCATTTGCATTCCCTCCTAAAGACTGAGTAACTTCTTCAGGTAGGTGTATGACAGGACAATTGTCTGTGCTTGGGATATCAGATATATGCAAGTGGTGAGAGTAAGAAGTAAGAAACCTTATTTTTATGTGTGTGAAAAAAATTTCATTTATAAAGAAAAAGCAGATTTCTGAGTAATGTTCTTCATAAAACTATTGTGTAGATAAGGCCAAAATTTTATTATTTTTTTTTCTGAATTTCCTGAATTTTCTTATTTCTAAGTTCTTTTGTCTATCGTTAATTTTTTTGAAACAAAAGATTATTATACAGTCTTAAATCATTATACTCATCAAATGTGTGCACTACAGTGGAAAGCAAGAGATTTAACATTGTTTATACTAAATTTTCCACTCTGTGTTTCTTGTCGTTGGCTTTGTATTCCATAAAATGGGTAAAATAGATTATATTATCTTGTTATTATTTTGTTAATATTGTTAATATGTTGTCCAACAAAAATATTCTAAATGTTTAACTATACCTATAAGAAGACATTGCTTCGAATATTAGAATGGTAAAAAATATCTGGGCTATTTAGTTTTCTTGATATTCTGAATTGAATATTGTGAGGAACTATGATTTTGAGAACTAAAGTGGAAATGTTTTTAATTATCTTAGTGAGTAGTTTTGGGAATAATGAAATGTGATCTTCACAGCCTTGCATAAGAGATTGTTTACCCTACCAAGAAAAAAGAGAGAGAGAGAGAGAGAGAGAAGAGAGAAGAGAGAGAGCTGGATTTTTCTCAAAGAAAAACATCTTAAATATACCAGAGCTACATTCAAGTGTAGACAAGGATAACTCAAGAAACATAAAATCAATCATGTGTAAGAGCTGTGGAGAGCTGTGCTCCATTCCTACTTCCTTCTTAGAAGTTATTCCAGATCCTAATTAAAACTGGTTTTTATTATTATTTAAATGTTCCACAGGGAAAGGCTTGTCACCTTTTAAAAATACTTTTGCAGTACAAAGTTCCTCAATGTCATGGCATAAGGATACAGGCAGGAAAAGACAAATGAGCTTTGGCAATGTTTTCCCACATGGATAAATCCAGAAGGAGAAGCTAATAAATCAGGAAGGGTCATTGCCTTGAAAAGGAACATTGTCCATTCCTGAATATTTCAGACTTACATAAATGGGCTCCTCAAGATTCGTTTTACCTTTCATCATTTCTACATCAAAGGGGGAGGGGAGAACTAATGGCTAAGCTAAGGCTAACACTAAAGCAAACATAAATAATTTCAAAATCAGAAAAATGTATCTATTTTCATAACAATGTACAAATCTAAAAGAAACTAAGCATTTTTAAATTGGGAGAGAATAGAAATGGATAAATATTTGGTCAATGGTCTATGAAAACTGGAGAAGAAATGATCAGTGTAATGTAAGAAGCAGTCATTTGTTTTAAATTTTTAAATTTTCTTTTTAAGAAAATTTCTTCAAGATGCTTAGTCATAATTTTATTTAATAAAGCTAAAAGTAAAAATGAATCTAATATCCTGTATAAACAAGCATGCTTTCCAGATAGAGTTTATTTTAAATCTTGAGTGATTGAGGCAATTATAAGGCTTATTCTCAAATTTAATTACAGTATTATTTGGGTAAATAATAGTTTATATAGATATTTAATATATTCTTTATCTCCTTCTGCATGTATTTCCTTCTTCAATTTTGAACTATTACCTTTAAAAATATAGAAATATGTAATCTAGATTCTGTTTATCAATAGTAATTCTCTAAAGAATAACTTATAATTAACAATGTCCCAATTTTATTTCCTTCTCTGGATATTAGAAAATAATTAAAATTTCATTCTTTATATTTAGCTGTGTGTCTCATATAGAGTAATTATAAAAATGGACTGTACGTCACATACAAGATGGTGCTTAACCTGTTTTCATTTTTCTTTTTATTTTGCTCCAAATAAAAGATAACATCTCAATATTATAGCCTAACTCCATATAGAAATTATCTGCCTTGACATTATTAATCAATTTCTTTAAGTTTTCATCATATAACTAATAGTTGTTTTAATTAATTACTTTAAAGGACATTCCTATTTTTCTTAGGTTTTGTTATCTACTTACTGTTCCTTTTAGGACTAGCTTGAGGTAGTTATTTCAGTTATTTCCAGTAGGTACTAATGAGGTCATAAGTTCAAACTGCATATGGGCATATAAAAGTTATGGCGTGCAAACCTGGCCACCTGCTTTGTGAATATTTCATGTTAATTCCAGTGGCAATAGGGTTAAGGGTAGGAATAGGGCAGCAAAATGTACTCCACTACTGGAAAAACTCACATATATTCCCTACAGCATGAGACATAAATAGACATGAACAGTGGTTCAGAATGATAGACACTGAAGAGGATCACCTCATTCCTTCTTAACCCATTGTGTATGTCTTAGTTAATTTTGGGCTGCTATAGCAGAACACCTGAGCCTAGGTAATTTATAATGAAAAGAACGTATTGATTTATAGTTCTGGAGGTTGGGAAGTCCAATATCAAGGTACTGGCATCTTGCAAGGACCTTCTTGTAGCATCATTACGTGGCAGAAGGCATCACATGACAAGGCAAACATAGGGAGGGAGGAAGAGAGAGAGATAGAGAGAAAGATAACAGGGTCAAACTCACCCTTTTACAAGGAATCTACTCCTGCAATAATAGCATTATTTACTCATGAAGGTGGAGCCCTCATGCCCTAATCCTCTCTGAAACAGGTCCCTCTTAGTACTATTACAATGGCAATTAAATTTCTACAAGAAATTTGGAGGAGACAAACATTCAAACCATAGCAATATGTGATAGCTCATTAATCAGATGATTAAAGGAATTGATAATGCCAACTTTTAAAAATCTTTATTTTATTTTAATTTGTAACATATATAAGGAGTAAAAACATAAATGTGTGAATTAGTGAATACTTAAAATGTGAACTCTCATGCAATTCCTTCCATTTTCTTCAGCAGTTAAGAACTAGAATACGACTAGCACCCCAGAAGCCATAGGATCATTGATCATAATAACCTGCCTCTGGAAGTAACTTCTATCCTTATGTAATAATTGTTCCCCTGCCTTTCTTCATAATTTTGCCACATACTTGTTTGCCATAAATAATGTGGTTTAGTTTTACTACAATTGTAAACCATATAAATAGAATCATACTGTATGCCTGAATTATGGTTTATTTGGCTCAACATTATATTTATGAGAGTCACACTTGTGTGTAGCTATATCCTATATACATTCAATTTACTTTCATTGCTTTGCGAATATGCTTCATTTAAAAAAATCCATTCTATTACCGGTGGAGCTATTACGAATAATGCTGCTATGAACATTCTTATAGATATATCCAGAAGCACATGTGCATTACAATATAAAGAAATGGAATTTTAGAGTCATGGAATATGTTCATATAGCTGGTAAATGGCCCCTTCAGATTTGCTACCATATTTATTAGATTCCCCTACTACCCAATTCTACCCTACCCTAATTATACATGAGTATATATAAAAATAAACTGTAAATACTGTCCTACAATCTGTGTATTTTTACTTGATAATAGTTAAATACATTCTTAATAATAAAAATAATATACAATATTTATTGTATCCATGCATGGATCCAATAAATGTTATTTGGCAATTATCTACTGTGTATTTCGGGCTTTAAAAAATGATTTTCTATTATAAGTGTTAAATATAAGTAAAATGTTTTCTCCATATTAAAAAAAAATTCCTCAGTGTAAAATTGATGGGTTAAAGATAAAACATTTTTAAAGTATTCAGAAAAATTAGCATAGTTTATTCAACAATAATTTATAAAATTACCTATTTTCTAGAAAAGGTCACCTATTTTAGTATTAAATATAAATATTTTATGCTTATCAAATTTATAATAGAAAAGTATTCTATTCAGCATTTATCTAGTAATAATGAGACTAAATAATTTTTTGAAAATGTATTTTTTCAGTGTGTCATTATCTTTCAATGGTTAATATTTTTTGTGGTTTTTAAAAATTATCTAGTGGTTTAAAATTTATGTAGAAAGCCATTTATTTTCCTTCATGATCTTTGCTTTTGGCATGTAATCCCTAAGATTATATGGCTATTTACCCATACATTTTTTAAGCAATTTTGAAATCTCTTATTCCCAGGCTGCTACATTACAAAACTTAATAGAGCTTGATCTCATAATACCATATTCATTGCTTTCAATTATTACTCTGTCTGGAAACTATATTAACGTATGGTGAGTATTTTGCTATTTAATTTTTTCAAGTGGTTAAAACTTGTCTAAATACCAATAATTAAATAGTTATTTTCACTATTGTTATTATATGATCTTATATACTAAGTTTGTCTCTGAATATTTTATTTTTTTCATTGATTTATTTATTCCTGAGTCAGGAATATATATATTAACCTCTAGTTGGAAAAGTTTCCTTAATTTTATTCTTTTTCAGCATTTCTTTTTATTAGTCGTTCTTTAACATAAATTTTATAGTCAATTGTCAAGCTCCAAAATATTATCTCATGGTATTTCAGTTGGTAATACATTAAATTTGCAGGTACACTTTAAAAAATTTACAGATTTACAGTGTTGAATTTTCTCAACCAGGAACATTATTAGTCTTTTTGGTTATTCAAGTCTCATAATTCTTGACACTGAATATTTTATTTAAAGTATCAGTAAGATTTAGAAAACATACTTAAGTCTTTAAGTATATTCTGAATAAAAATGAAGCTAACCATATACTGTCTTTTATTTTGATTTGGAATAAACAAAATGATGAGAGGAGAAATCTCAAACCAAATGTATTAAATATATTTTATTCCTGCGGGTGTGTTTTTCAGCAAAATGCTATTACAAAGTAAGCTTTTATAGATAATCCTTAAAATATTGTTTGGTAAAGCCACATAGAACAAAACATTAAGAAACAAATTTGCTCTACCAAATCACTGATAAATAAATGATTGCTCTAATTGCAAACACTACAATAAAGGAAAATAGACAGATACATGGGACTCACTCTAATTTCCTAAAGATTAAAGATTAGAAACCACTAAAGAGACAAGATCAGCCAATGCTCCATTATATCCAGCTGGTTTGCCTTCATGTGTAATGTCAAAATAGGGTAATGAGTGATATACAAATATACCCAAACACACAAAAAAACAGCAAGCCTCAGCAGAAGCACAGATATCAGGAAAAGACTGCCAAGATTTCAAATATTGAAATGATTAAGTTAGAGTATAGAACAACTATGTTAACATGTTTAAAGAAGGAAAAAACAGATAATAAGAAACATTCACCTAGGGCATTAAAAAAACAGGAATATGAAGGGCAAAAATATTAACAACCCAAATTAAAGAGAAGTCAATGGAAGTATAGCATTCAGACGGAAATGTGCAGAGCTTCATTTTGGACATGAAAACACATGAAGATGTCTATTATACATCCAGGTATAGATGTCAAGTAGTCTGTGACTGAATATGGAGTTCACCTGAGAGGTCCAAACTACAGATGCTAATTTGGGAGTCAATGTGGCGGTCTGTTTCTCTTCATATACAATTAGGGTCTCAGTGCATAGTAGTGGGAAGGAAGAGATTTGTTTCCTCTGTGTCTTGTGTTTTCCAGACAGTTAACTTAGAAAGAAAGAAAGGCTTGGGTATTTGGGAGTATAAGGAAAAGAATGATGAGTATAACCTGGTGAATTAGTAGAACTGTGGAAAGTCCTGTGCCTTTTCTTCAAATATGCTGTGAAGACTTGATGCCTGGAGCTGCAGCCATCTTGAGACAACAAGGAGAAAACCAGAGAATTGGGAAATCCATCCTTGTATTTTTGAACAGTGGAATTAATAACAACAGGTGCTAACTTTTAGCATTCTTGTTTTGTGAGAAAAAGTGTCCCTTAATTTGAAAGTCAAGTTGGTTTAATTTCTGATTACTTGCGATCTAAGAAAATCCTAACTACAAAAGACATGAAGGATGGAGCATAAAAAATATGGCAGCTCTTACACCAAAACTAATCCTCACATTAATGGTAACCTTAGCTGTAGCCATAACTAATTTAATTGCAATGTTCATATGAAAATAAAATTACAAAAAATAGTTTCCATAAAAAATCTTTTTAAAAATTGGGGCATCTAGCCATACCAGATATATATTAAAAAGTTAAGGATCTTTTAAAATTCATACTGTGTGGTATTGTCATACAAATAGAAAGTTTGGTCAATGGTACAGAAAGAAACTCCAGAAGTCATCTCAACTTTGTACGGAAATTTAGTTTTTTGTGAAATTAACATCTTCAATCAGAGAAAAAGTGTTACCGTTTAATAAATGATGTTGGGACAATTGGATGGCTAATTATTAATACAAAGAGTCGAAACTGGATCTGTACCAGGCTGGATAAACTCAAGATAAATGGAAAACCTAAATATAAAAAGAGGAACCATTAATAAAAAACTCAAGTAAAACATAGGTGCAATCTTTTTTCTGATAATAAGGAAAACTTTCCTAACTATTGACTTAAAATTGAGAAGTAATGAAAGATTGATAAATATGTTTAGACAAAAATGAAAATTAGTAAACAAACCAATACTTAAAAACATAAAAATTGAAAACAAACTGAAATAAATGAAACTGTGTATCAAATTGCTGACATAAGAAAATGGAGAAAAAGATTATTTCAAGTAACTTTACAATGAAGAATTTTTCCTATACTTCCATGATATCTTTAATTTCTTAGCAAGACATCAAAGTAACATAAATATAAACATCAAAATATAAACATCAAAATAACATAAAGTGAATAAGTAAAGTTTTTAACTACAAGGCATTTTGTACCTGTCTACCAACCTATCCCAACTGAGTCCTAAGAACATAGTTAAACCCCTTGTTTAACATCAAATATAACATCAAAATAACATAAAATGAATAAGTAAAGTTTTTAACTACAAGGCATTTTGTACCTGTCTACCAACCTATCCCAACTATGAGTCCTAAGAACATAGTTAAACCCCTTGTTTTTATGAATAACAAACTTTATGCTCTTATGCAGGCTACTTAGCATGTCTGCACTTTAATTTTCTTGACTACAAAATATGAATTAGGTACTAAGATAAAGCAATTTATGGCTTTGAAGTAAATAATTCTTTAGGAACTTTCCGTTTCTAGAAAGTACATAAGTCTTAATTTGATCTCATAATCATTGGTTCTTTTTTAAAATAATTTCAACTTTTATTTTAGATTCAAGGGATACATGTGCAGGTTTGTTACATGGGTAACATGGGAATATCACGTGATGCCGAGGTTTTGGGTATGATTGATTCCATCAACCAGGTAGTGAGCATAGTACCCAAGAATTTTTCCACCTTTGCCCCCTTGCATTCCTCCCCACCCTTAGTAGTCCTCAGTTTCTATGAGTAGTCAGTGTTTAGCTGCCAGTTAGAAATAAGAACATGTGGTATTTGTTTTTCTGTTCCTATGGTTCCCTTAAGATAACGGCCTCCAACGGCATCCATGTTGCTGCAAAGGACATAATTTTTTTTATGGGTATGTGGTATTCCATGGGGTATATGTACCACATTTTCTTTATCCAGTACATTCTCGACGGGCACCTAGGTTGATTCCATGTCTTTGCTATTGTGAATAGTGCTGCAAAGAACATATGAGTGCATGTGTCTTTTTTATAGAATGATTTATTTTGTTTCGGATATATACTTAGTAATGAAATTGCTCAGCTGAACAGTCATTCTGTTTTAAGTTATTTGAGAAATCTTCCATGAACAGTGTATAAACATTCCGTTTTCTCCACAGCTTCACCAGTATCTTTTTTTTTTTTTTTGACATTTTAACAATAACCATTCTGACTGGTGTGAGATGGTATCTCATTGTGGTTTTGATTTGCATTTCTCTGATGTAATGATGTTGACATTTTCTTATATATTTATAGTCTTCTCCTATGCCTTCTTTTGAGAATGCCTATTCATGTCTTTTGCCCACTTTCTAACGGGATATTACTTTTTGCTTCTTGAATTAAGTTCCCCATAGATTCTGGATATTAGACTTTTGTTGGATGCATAGTTTGAAAATATTTTCTCCCATTCTGTAGGTTGTCTGCTTACGCTGTTGGTAGTTTCTTTTGCTAAGCAGAAGCTCTGTAGTTTCATTAGGTCTCACTTGTCAATTTTTGTTTCTGTTGCAATTGCTTTTGAGGTCTTAGTCATATATTGTTTTCCAATGTCAATGTCCAAAATTATGTTTCCTAGATTTTCCTCTAGGATTCTTATAGTTTGAGGTCTTACATTGAAATCTTCAATCCATTTTTTGTTAGTTTTTGTATATGGTGAAATGCAGGGGAGGAGTTTCATTCTTCTGCATATGGCTAGCCAGCTATCCTAGCACCATTTATTGAATAGGGAGTCCTTTCTCCATTGCTTGTTTTTGTCAACTTTGTTGAAGATTAGATAACTGTGGATGTGCAGCTTTATTTCTGGGTTCTCTATTGTGTTCCATTGGCCTGTGTGTCAGTTTTTGTACCAGTACCATGCTGTTTTAGTTATTATAGCCTAATAGGATAGTTTCAAGTCAGATAGGGTGATGCCTCCAGCTTTTTCTTTTTGCTCAGGATTGCTTTGGCTATTTCTGCTCTCCTTTTTTGGTTCCATATGAAGTTTAGAATAGTTTTTGTCTAACGCTGTGAAAAATGATGTTGGTAGTTTCATAGGAATAGTGTTGTATCTGTAGATTACTTTGGGCAATATGGCCATTTTAATGATATTGATTCTTCTAATCCATTAGCATGGAATGTTTTTCCTTTTATTTGTTATATTGGTCTGTTCTCATGCTGCTAATGAAAAGCATACCCAAAGACTGGGTAATTTCTAAAGGAAAGAGATTTAATGGACTTAACGGTTCCACATGGTTGGGGAGGCCTCACAATCGTGGCAGAAGGTGAAGGAGAAGCAAAGCCATGTCTTACATGGCAGCAGGCAAGAGAGCATGTGCAGGGGAACTGCCCTTTTATAAAACCATCAGATCTTGTGAGACTTATGCACTATTAAAAGAACAGCATAGGAAAAAATTGCCCCCATAATTCAACTACCTCCCACCAGGTCCCTCCCACAGCACATGGGGATGATTATTATATTATTTATTTATTTATTTATTTTTGAGACAGAGTCTTGCTCTGTCACCCAGGCTGGAATGCAGTGGCTTTATCTCCACTCACTGCGAGCTCCTCCTTCCGGGTTCGTGCCATTCTCCTGCCTCAGCCTCCTGAGTAGCTGGGACCACAGGTGCCCGCCACCACGCCCAGCTAATTTTTTGTATTTTTAGTAGAGACCGGGTTTCACCCTGTTAGCCAGCATGGTCTTGCTCTCCTGACCTCGTGATCTGCCCAGCTCGGCCTCCCAAAGTGCTGGGATTACAGGTGTGAGCCACCACGCCCAGCCAATTATTATAAATTCAAGGTGAGATTTGGGCGAGGACACAGAGCCAAACAATATCATTTGTATCACCTTGATTTCTTTGAGCAGTGTTTTGCAGTTCTCCTTGTGGAGATCTTTTACCTTGATGTAGTTTGGATATTTGTCTCCACTCAAATCTGATGTTGAATTGTAATCCCCAGTGTTGGAGGTGGGGGAATTGGTGGGAGGTGATTGGATCATGGGGGCAGATTCTCTCATGGGTTGGTGCTGTCCTCGCAATAGTGAATCACAAGATCTGATTGTTTGAAAGTGTGTGGCACCTCCCCCTCCTCTTGCGCTTGCTCTCACCATGCAAAGTGCCTACTCCTGCTTCTGTCACGAGAAAAAGCTGCCTGAGGCCTCCCCAGAAGCTGAGCAGAGGCTGGTGCCATGCTTCCTGGACAGCCTGCAGAACCATGAGCTAATTAAACCTCTTTTCCTTTTAAATTACCCAGTATCAGGTTTTTTGTTTTTTGGGTTTTTTTTTTTTGTTTGTTTTTTTAATAGCAATGCAAGAACGACCTAATACATACCTCCATGGTTAGATATATTCCTGAGTATTTTATTTATTTTGTGGCTACTGTAAATATGATTGTGTTCTTGATTTGGCTTTCAGCTTGAATGTTATTAGTCTCGAAATGCTCCTGATTTTTGTACATTGATTTTGTATCCTAAAACTTACCTGAAGTCATTTATCAGTTTCAGGAGCCTTTTGGCAGAGTCTTTACGATTTTATAGGTCACTCTCATATTGTCAGTGAAGAGAGACAATTTGCCTTCTTCCTTCCTATTTGGATGCCTTTTATTTCTTTCTCTTGCCTCATTGCTCTGGCTAGGACTTCCAGTACTATGTTGAATAGGAGTGGTGAGAATGGGCATCCTTGTTTTGTTCTGGTTCGCAAAAGGAATGCTCCAGCTTTTGCTCATTCAGTATTATGTCAGCTGTGGGTTTGTCATAATTGGCTTCTTTTATTTTGAGGTTTGTTTCTACTATGCCTAGTCTGTTAAGAATTTTTATCATGAAGGAATGTTGGATTTTTATCTAAAACCTTTTCCATGTCTATTGAGATGATCATATGGTTTTTTCTTTTAATACTTTTTATTTTGAGGTATGTTTCTTCTATGCCTAGTCTGTTAGGAATTTTTATCATGAAGGAATGGTGGATTTTTATCAAAAACTTTTTCCATATCTATTGAGATGATCATATGGTTTTTGCTTGTAATTCTGTTTATGTGATGAAGCACACTGATTTGTGTGTGTTCAGCTTACCTTACATCCCAGGAATGAAGCCTACTAGATTGTAGTGAATTCGCTTTTTGATGTTGTGATGGTTAATACTGAGTGTAAACTTGATTGGATTGAGGGGTACAAAGTATTAATCCTGGGTGTGTCTGTGTGGGTGTTGCCCAAAAGAGATTAACATTTGAGTCAGTGGGCTGGGGAAAGCAGATCCACCCTTAATCTGGTGGGCACAATCTAATCAGCTTCCAACGAATATAAAGCAGGCAGAAAAACATGAAAAGCCGAGATGGGCCTAGTCTCCCAGCCTACATCTTTCTTCCAGGCTGGATGCTTCCTGCCCTGGAACATTGGCCTCCAAGTTCTTCAGTTTTGAGACGTGGACTGTCTCTCCTTTCTCCTCAGCTTGCAGACAGCCTATTGTGGGACCTTGTGATCATATAAGTTAATATTTAATAAACTCCGATATATATATCAAGAGATATATATATCTATATATATCCTATTAGTTCTAGGTTCCAGGGTTCTCTAAGAGTACTCTGACTAATACAGATGTGTGCTACTGGATTTGATTTGCTAGCAATTTTTGAGGATTTTTTCATCTTTGTTTATCAGGGACATTGTCCTGCAGTTTTTTTTCTTTCTTGTTTTTTTTTTTTTGTTTGTTTGTATGTTTGTTTGTTTTTGACACAGGATCTCACTTTGTTGCCTAGGCTGGAGTACAGTGGCCTAATCATGGCTCACTTCAGCTTGGACCTCCCAGGCTCAAGCAATCCTCCCACTTCAGCCTCCCAAGTAGCTGGGACTACAGGCATGTGCCACCACACCTGGTTAATTTTTTATTTTTTGTAGTGTTAGGGTCTCTCTATCTTGCCAGATTGGTTTCAAACTCCTGGGCTCAAGGAATTCTTCTACCTTGGCCTCTGAAATTGCTGGGATTACATTTGTGAGCCACCATACCCAGCCTAATTTTCTTTTCTTTGTGTCTTTCCCAGGTTTTGGTATCAGGATTATGCTGGCTTTGTAGAATGAGTTAGGAAGTTCCTCAGCCTTGAATTTTTGAATAGTTTCAGTAGAATTGGTACTAGCTCCTCCTTTGTACATCTAGTAGAATTCAGCTGTGAATCCGTCTGGTCTAGGGCTGTTTTTGGTTTGTAGGTTTTTTATCACTGATTCAATTTTGGGACCCAATCTTGGTCTGTTCAGAGTTTCAATTTCTTCTTGATTCCTGTGTGTTTCCAGGAATTTATCCATTTCCTCTAGATTTCCTAGTTTTTGTGAATAGAAGTGTTCATAATAGCCTCTGAGGATCTTTTGTATTTCAGTAGGATCAATTGTAATGTCACCTTTATCATTTCGATTGTGCTTATTTGTATCATCTCTCTTTTTTCTTTGTTAATCTAGCTACTGATCTAACCATTTTGTTTGTGCTTTCACAAAACCAACTTTTGATTTTATCAATTCTTTGTAAGCATTTTGGAGTCTTAATTTCATGCATTTCTTCTCCGATTTTCATTATTCCTTTTCTTCTGCTAGTTTTGAGCTACTTTGTTGTTGCTTTTCTTGTTCCTCTAGGTGTGATTTTCTTGTTCCTCTAGATCATTAATTTGAGATATTTTCAACTTTTTAGGTAGGTGTTTAGTGCTATAAACTTTCCTCTTAACACTGCTTTTGCTGCATCCCAGATATTTTGGTATGTTGTGTCTCTGTTTTCCTTTATTTCAAAGATTGTTTTTTGAAAAATTCTGCCTTAATTTTGTTGGTTGCCCAAAAGTTATTCAGAAGCCAGTTTATTTTCCATGCAGTCCAATGATAATGTGATTAGGTAAATTATTAGGTGATTGAGTACCAAACCTCAGGAATTCTAGGAGCACATTTTGTCTCAATACTCATTTACCATATCTTGAAGCAATCGAACAAGAAACAGCTGTTTGCTGAGTATCATATTGGTGTCTTTAAATTGATTGTGTGTTGTATGCACAAGTATGGATATGCCTTCATATCTGTCATGAGGAACTCATGGTTTGTAAGCTTTAGCTTTTTGATCTGGTACTCCGAATCTACATATCACCTTGGTCCTTGAAGCCAGGATCCACTTATTTCACTGGATCTCTGTGCATTCGTTTATTTTTTTTTTTTTGACATGGCCATATCTTATATTTTTATATTAAGAAAAAAAAGACTCACTCAAATCAACAGCAAGTACATAAATTATTTGAAACCTAATAATTGAAAGGAGTAAGTGGAAGTTCTGATCATGGGTAGAGAAGTAGGTATATTTTATCTGTATCTCCATCAAATACAGCTCTAAAACCTAGACAGAATTATGTAGTATATATTTCAGGCCCTTGAAAAGTAAGGAGTAGCTGACAGATAAGGAAAGAAGACCCAAATTCAAAGTACACCAAATTGGTGGTGAGTTTCCCATTTTCTTCTGGTATATCCTGGCCTGATGCAAAGAAGTCCCAAACTCAAAGGAGGGCACCAAGATGTAGTTAGAGAGAGTTCTGGGAGAAGGCCTCTAGTTGTATCTTGAACAATGAGAAAGAGGTCTCCAAATGCTCATGTCGTTAGGAAGAGTTCTGGGAGAAATCCTGTATCTTGAGCAATGAGAAAGGGGTCTCCAAATGCTCAGAGTGGGAAAAAGCCCCCATTTGTTTTTCATTGTTTTTGTTCTTTTACCATTTTTCTAACACATAAATCCACATTGGCTATGGAAACAGCAGCAACAGTGGTGATAGCAGAAGCCTAGAGGTATCAAAAATTCAAAGGGAAGATCTTCTCCAGTTGGAGGAATTATGGTTCCAAAAAGGTTGAGTAAACCCCTTTCCACTGGCCTTATGCTCGTTGGCCCTATGCAGGCCCCGATAGGGCCTATACCCATTGGCCCTATACAGGCATAGAGTCATAGAAGCGTGCAGCAGAATGGGGGCAACTGAACCTCTGCTTTTGACCAAGGCTCAAAAATGGAAGGGGCTTGGAAAAGAGAACTATAAAGTTATTTATAAACACCTGGGGTCACTCCTGAGCTCTAAATTCATGAATCAGATCTCATCATAAACACATGCCAAAGACATTGAGAATGAAGTAACAGATAAATCACCAATGATCATCCAGGTACCAGACTGACCACTGAGTGGCTTACACAGGGGAGAGATATGAGTAATCATTGGAAAGGTTAGAAAACAGAACTGACACTCACAGAAATCTGGTTGGAACTTGTGACTGGATGTTAACTATATATATTACCTGTTAATACTACAATATGAACATTCTTTATAGAATTTTAGTAAGAAGTGGAGTCTCATAACATAATATTGAAACTTCCAAGATGGAATCTAAAATTATTTGGGACATGAAGAACATAAAAACTTCTGCTTATATGGGAAAAGGCAATGCCAAGATGACATATGTTTTGAAATTATCTGAAAAATACTTCAGAACAGCTATCATAAAAAAAAGCTTGAAGAAGTAAGGGTGAAGGCTCTTAAAATGAATGAAAAGATAGAAAATCTCAGCAGAGAAATGGAAGATGCAAAGAAGAAATAAGTGGAAATTTTAGAACTGAAAATACAATAATAGCAACAAAAACATTAATAAACAGGTTCAATTTCAGAATGAAGATGATAGAAGAAATCATCAGTAAACTCAAAGATAGATTAATAGAAATTATCCAATGTGAACATTTAAGGAAAAATAGTGAAAAAATATAAATGGAACCTATGGCACAATAACAGGAGGTAAGACATTTATGCCATTAAAAACTCAGAGGAAAGGAGAAAGACTATGATGTTGAAAAAGTATTTGGAGATATAATGGCTGAAAATTTTCCAAATTTGGGTAAAGAGATGAATCTACAGATTTTAGGAGTTCAGCAAATCCTAAACAGGACAAACTCAAAGAAATCCAAACCCAGACACATAGTAATTAAATTCTTGAACTAAATAATAATTAAATTCTTGAAATAAATATATATATATATTTAGTTATATATATAGAACCTTATTAAGTTATACTTATATATATATAACCTTAATGGTACTGAGGAACAGTGACCCACTACTTATAGGGAACAATAATTCAAGTGATTTTGTTTTGTCTTTAGAAACTATGGAGGCAAGAAAAAAGTAGGACAAAATTTTTAAGGAGCTGAAAGAGTGAACTCTCAACCCAGAATTCCATATTCAGTAAAATATCCTTCAGGAATGAAATTGAAATATAAACATTTTCAGATGAAGGAAAACTAGGAGAAGTAATTCAGCAGCAAAGCTGTTCTAAAATAATTATTTTAAAAAGTCTTCAGACAGAAGGGAAATACTACCAGAAGAAAATTTAGACCATCAAGATGAAGGAAGAGCAGAAATGGTAATTGTCTGTGTAAATATAATAGATTGGTTCTCTTCTTTAAAATATGTCTGATGGTTGAAATAAAAAATATAACAACTTAGTCAAATCTCAAAGGCTGCATGCAGGGTGAAAGAAGCCAGCCTCATATTGTATGACATTCTTTTTTCTTCTTCTTCTTCTTTTTCTTCTTTTTGAGACAGAGTCTCAGTCTATCGCCCAGGCTGGAGCGCAGTGGTGTGACCTTGGTTCACTGCAACCTCTGCCTCCTGGGTTCAAGCGATTCTCCTGCCTCAGCCTCTAAGTAGCTGGGATTACAGGCATGTGCCATTGCACCTGGCTAATTTTGGTATTTTTAGTAGAGATGGGGTTTTGCCATGTTGGCCAGGCTGGTCTTGAACTCCTGACCTCAGGTGATCCACCTGCCTTGGCCTCCCAAATTGCTGGGATTACAGGCATGAGCCACCATGCCCGGCCACGTATCACATTCTTAAAAAGACACTTGTGATGTCTTCTGTGATTCCTTCTACCCCCAATCTAATGTAACTATCACCTTCATGCCTGTCATGTCACCTGGTTTTATCTGACTCATAGCGTCCTAGCAATTATTACAATATAAGTCATCTTGTTTTAGACTTGTTTTACTTGTTGTCTGTCTCCTCCTCCCCCGCCCCATCTGTTTGTCCAGTGAATTTGCTGATTTTAGTTGTCACTGTATTCTTAGTGTTTAGAATAACAGCTAATACATATAGACATTCAATTGCTCTCTTTCTCTCTCTCTCTCTCTCTCTCTCTCTCTCTCTCTATATATATATATATATATATATATATTATTTTTTAATTTTTTTTTTTAGATGGAGTCTCACTCTGTCACCCAGGCTGGAGTGCAGTGGCACGATCTCAGCTCACGGCAACCTCCGTCTCTTGGGCTCAAGCAGTTCTCCTGCCTCAGCCTCCCGAATAGCTGCGACTAAAGGCATGCACCACCAAGCCTGGCTAATTTTTATATTTTTTGTAGAAATGGAGTCTCACTGTGTTGGCCAGGCTGGTCTCAAACTCCTGACCTCCAGTGATCTGCCTGTTTCTGCTTCCCAAAGTGCTGGGATTACAGTCATGAGCCACCTCACTCAGCTAAATATATATTTTTAATGGCTTAATTAATTAATATTTTAGGAAGCCTGATACTAATACATTCATACTGAATGAATTGGAATGTAGTGTCTTAATAGCTATATTAGTTTTCTAGGACTGCCATAACAAAATCCTATAGATAAGGTGGTTTGAGCAAAAGAAATGTATTTTCTCACCATCCTGCAGGTTGAAAGTCTGAGACTGATGTATCAATAGATTTCATTTCTCTGAGACCTCTCTCCTTCTTGATGGTGGTCACCATCTTGCTGTCGTGGTTGTTTCCCATTGCATATGCACTCCTAGTGTCTGTCTGTGTGTTCAATTTCTTCTTCATATAAGGACACAATCAGATTTGATTATGCCTACTCTAAAGGCTTCATTTTGACTTAATCGCCTCTTTAAATGCTCTGTCTCCAAATACAGTCACATTTTGAGCTACTAGGGGTTAAGACTTTAACATAGAAATTCTGTGGAGACATAATTCAGCCCATAACAATAGCTGTCTTAGTTTGTTTTGTGCTGCTATAACAAAAAATACCTGAGAGTAGGCAATTTATAAAGAACAGAAATTTATTTATCACAGTTCAGGAGACCGGGAAGTCCAAGATCAGGGCACCAGCAGGCTCAACTGTCTGGACAGGACTGCTTTCTGTTTCCAAGATGGAGTTTTGGCATCATTTGCATGGGAGGAACACTGCATGCTCACAGAGCGGAGGGACAGAAGGGTGAAAAGGGACAAACTCCCTCAGTCAAGCCCTTCATAAAAGTTGCCTAATCCCATTCATGAGGGCTCTGACTCAATCAGCTTTCAAAGTCCACAACTCCCAATACTGTTGCATTGGGGATTAAACTTTAACATGAATGTTGGAGGGAACAAAAGCAATCAAACCATATTCATAGCTAACATATTTTTAGTGCTTGTTAGATTTACAGATGTTGTTATAGCACTTTCTGTGTATTCCTTTATGTAAGCTTCATAACAATTTCATGAGAAAATTACCATTTTTATACTTGATCTATAGATGAGGAAAAGAACCACAAAGAGGTTAGAATCATTTGCCCAAAGTCACATATACTAAGTGGTGAACCCGTAAGATAAAATCAGAAAGTTTGAGTTTAGAGCTCTTATCAAGATGTTACTTTCGTTCCTTTAATCCTAGAAGCAAGGATATCAACTGAGACTCTGTTTTTAAGTGCTCCAGACTTGAAATGAAAAGGTCTAGAATTTAGGTGGAAAAGGAAGGAGCATTTAAAACACATGACAAGGTTTGATGACAGGTTCAAATTATGTTTCCTGATTGAAAGTCAACCTGTAATTCACATTTTTGTATTTTGAAATTTGGAGTGCATTTTAATATATAATATAGTCTTTGGTTATATTTCTTTTCCGATGTGTCTCACAATGGAAAGTCTTTGGTATTACATATTATGAGATTAGATTAAGATCACAAGGAGTATAGAGAAAGAAGGAAAGATTAAGGATTGAGAGGAGTTGAAGACCTAAGATTGAGAGAACCGTGAAGTAGAGTAAGATCATAGCCAATGCTTCAGCCACCTCAATGAGCTAACTGATTGTCCTTTTGGCCTTCTATACTCACCAGCTGGTCCAGAGGGATTAAAACCACATGTAAACTAGTTCATGTCCATTTTTTTTTCTGTATGTAAAAGTTCAAAGTAAATTACAAAGCATAAATTTGTGAAATAGCTATAATGATTCCTTTCCTCCTATCTTTGATACCTAGGAACATTTATTTGTTCTCAATCTTGCATAACTACAGCATAGCATAAGAGGAGTTATGGTAACATTCCTCAAAGAGGACATTACTCCGAAGTCAGCCCCCAATACAGCCAGTTCTCTTTGAAGTAATTAAGATTTTTACATTGATAGGTTTTGTCTTTCCCTGTCTGATTGCTCTCTTGCTGGGCATTAAACATTTTTGTATTAACTTTACTTAAGGCTTACTACTCCCTGACAATTACTAGGCTATTCTTATCTCCTAGGTGAAACTCCTGAAATACCATTGCATTTAGGTCCAAGGATTAACTGACCATTTCTTTTACTTTCCCAGAAATCTGGTTGGAACTTGCGACCTGATGAAATAATTATAATTATTTTTGCAAAATAATAATAAAAATTCTCATGCATTTTTCATGGCCACAGAGTCAAGATCAAATGCTATGAGCTTTAAAAGTTTAAAAGTTCTGTAAATTATGTTGAACACATACCCTTGTTTAAAAATAAGGGCAAAGAAAGTTTTCAAAATGACAGTTGTAGGGTAAGAGGTGCAATGAGGTTTAATTTTCCTTGAGACATGCAAGAGGAAAGTTAATAATTTAGGGGAAAATATTAAATGCACTAAGGGAGAAAAGGTAGAATTTAAAGAAAAGTCTCCCACATTTAAAGGATTTCAGGAGAAGAAAACTAATGGAATGTTTATAAGAATGGCTAAAAACATTAATTCTAAACTACCAAAGAATGTTTTTCAAAGTTCATAACATAAGCTAAACTTCGCTGTTCAGAGTCTATATTCTGGCTAATGGGATAATTAAAATGTCAACCCAAAATGAATATATTTCAATTATAGCCGTGCCCTGTGCAATTAAAAATGCCTCACAGGAAAATAAACTTATTATTATTATGGGGGAATTTTTATTAGTTAAGGAATGCATTATCAGAGTTGATTGAGGTGATGTGGTAATGTCACCTTAATTCTCATAAATCAAACAAGGAATCCGGAAAGTGAACTTTTAAAAACATTTTAAAATGTTCAGCCTGAAGGAAAATAGATAAAGGCATATTCTATTGCTTTAGCAATCTTAGAATAGTAATTACCCTCCCAATAGGTGAGTGAGCAGGAACATTTAGCAGACCACAGGAGTTTAATGCCTATAAAATGGCCTTTCTTAAGTTTAATAGCAGATGTGTAGTGTTGGTTACCTCATTTTCACTCTCATTAAGTAGAAAGTATGGCAACATTAAATGATTGGAAACTAGTCTCCAGATTTTTCTTTCCTTTTCCTCAGTAGATTTATAGATAATATCCATTAAATTTTTAATTAGTACTTACATATAATATAGGAAGAACAGAAATATTAAATAAAAACATGCATATATTGATTCAAGCTGGATTTTTATTTCTGATATGATGGGCAAAATGTAACTGTCATTTCAATCATATTTTTAAGGCAGCTGTTAAGCTTGCATCTGAAAAAAATTGTGATGTAAATTATGTTGCAAGACAAGTAAGGACTGGCCAGTAAGTATTACCACAACGTTCTCAGTTGTTGTGAAACCTAGGAGCCATCCTTGATTTGTTTCTTTCATTCATATCCAACATTCAATCCATCAAGTCCTGTTCACTCTGTCTTAGAAATGTAACTCTCAACTGATCTCTACTGACCACTTCCTCTAGAGTACAGAGTCTTCCCTGTGGCTTGCAAAGCCTCTGTGATCTGGAGTTTGAATTCCTCTATTCCTCTCTAGTCACACTGGCTAGTTTCTTCTATCCTCATGGGTTTGTGCTTGCTGTTTTCCTGCCTGGAATATTTCTCCCAGACCTTCCCATGCCTACCATTTTGCTTCATTCAGGGAAGTCTTTGCTTTCTGGCTCTTGCTGTGCTAAGAACTCTCTGACCCTGGAATTCGGATGCCTCACAGCACTACCACCAGGACCTATCTGACCATCCTGTTTTATACTGCCAGGTCCTGCCAGACCTAGCACTTCAGGTCTTCTAGGTCACCTTCTACTTCTCGCTATAGCACACAACACCTTCTAACATTACAAAACTAAATTATTTTTCATATTTCCTGCTTATTGTCTTCCTCTACCACAGTGCAAGCTCCATTAAGCAAAGATTTATTGGTGTCTTCTTTTTAGTTATTGTTGTTCACTTTTGTGTCCCAAATGCCTAGAACAAAGCCTGGTATATAGTAGCCCTGTAATAAATAATTCCTGAATGAATAAATGGATTTATTTGTCTTAGTTGTATAATGGTCTATCAGAAACATCATTTAGGTTTAAAGAAGAAATTTCAAAATTAAGATTAATAGGAGTCAAGACAATATTTTCATAATAGTTTAAAATTTAGTGTTAGAAAATAGCAAAATTGCCCTCCATAATGTGAGTGGGCCTCATCTAATCAGTCAAAGGCCTGAATAGAACAAAAGACTGACCCCCACTGATGAAGAAGAAATTCTGCAGCAGATGGGCTCTGGACTTGAACTGCAACATCTGTTCTTTTCTGAGTCTCTAGCTGATAGCCTTCAGACTTGAACTACAAATTTTGAATTTGCCAGTCTCCATAATCATATGAGCCAATTCATTAAAACAAATCTCTCTCTATATATACACACACATCCTATTGGGTCGATTTCTCTGGGAAACTCTGGCTAATACACTTTTCAATGACCCACCATCATTAAAATGATGATGATGATAATAATAAAATTGGTAAGGATAACAGGCATTTAATGAGGATTTACTGCATGGCTGACACTATTTTAGTATTTTGTGTGTTTTAATTCATTTAACACTTCCATAAGTTATGATAATTATTTTCCTTTTTCAAATAAGGTAACTGGGACAAGAGAATATTAAAGGATTTGCCCCAAGCCCCACAGCTAATAGAAGGTGGAGTTGGGATGTAAACCTTCATGGTCAAGTGCACTAAAAGCCCTAGTAAATGAATAAAATGCCAAATCACTGTCTTTAATATTTTTTTTCTACAGAGCCATGTTACATATTTTAGTTTAAAGCTTCAGGTAAGTGAACTTTTTCGAGACAAAAAAAATATGTTTATCTTCGGAGCTCTGTAGAAATCCTTTGAACATTTTATTGGCATATGTTTTAAATAGCTGTACTGCAAAGGAACTTCCTTTGTTTATTTCTAACTTGTGACTTCTGTTCTTCTCCTTAAGCGGCTGCTGACCTTTATCTTTTCTTCAAGCTGTAAAAAAAACAAGAGATATTCTAAATTAACCCCAAATTTCCGACTTGGCAGAGCTGTGTCAGAGATATTGCCCTGATAAAAAGTAAGCAAAAGGTAGATATCTGGGGAATGTTTAATTGAGTCATTTTGGAAACTGTTCAAGAAGATATTAACCTTATTTTGAAGCTAGGAGGGAAGAGTGAGGAGGGACATAGAATTAATTTTTACAATTTCTTATCCTGTCTTCAGAGACCATTTATTACAGAGTTATTGTTGAAGTACTTAGTTAACATTAAATGGTTGAGTCAGGGTACCTCATCATCAGAATGTCTATTAGAACTGTAAGACTGTTGATTCTAGAAGCAGAGATACATGTTGAAAAAATTTTATCCTTTTTCTCAAGTTACTTTTTTCATGAAAAATAATTTGAAATAGAACAATTATGTTTTTTGAAGCCCATATAATTGTTTTAAGTTATATACTATGGAAAAATAGCTTTTTTTTTGGACTTCTCCCTGGAAGTAGGGATTAAAGTTTATATTTTACAATAAAGTGACTCAATTTTTGTTCATTTACATCTGTTGCAATAGTTATGTAAATTCTACAAATTAATATTGTTTTAAAATACTGTCCAAAATGCAATGTAATTCTTCTTCTTCTTTTTGTCTTTTGGCCTTTACTGAGAACAAAAAACATATTACTAAGAAGGAAACAGATGAAGGGTAATTCCACAATTCTTAGCTGAATCCCCAAAGAATACCCTACTCCCTATCTTTGTTTGTTCACATTTTGCAGGGGAAATATTAAACAATAATATTCATGTGATCACTTCATATTGGTGGGCAACACAGCCTTTCAGAAAAGCAACTTGGAATAAAATGAAAAAAGTAGTTTTTTTGAAATGTATTAAAGAAGTAGAGAAATATTAGAATGTCAGTGAAAGGGAATTTTTCAACACAAAACTACTAATTTTAAGCACTTTCTATTTCGCAGTTGGTGTGAGAAAATTTATCCAGTGGAGATATGAAATTTGAAAGCCAAATTAGACCCTTTGAAAATCGAATCCAAATGTTTATGTGAATATTTGTCTGTGTGTTTTGGGAGAAGTTGTGAAGAATAGTTTCAATCACATGATCTCCATTTTAATTTTATCCACATGATCTCAGATCCTACAGGGACCCCTTAAGAAGAGAGAAGTAGGTTGGTGCAGGTGTCAGAGCAAGATCAAAGGACAACAGGCCATCTTTAAAAAATAAAACAGGAAAATAACAATCTGGAATCTAGTCTTCAAGTGCTTT
The DNA here is from genome assembly GCF_000001405.40 of Homo sapiens. Lineage (NCBI taxonomy): Eukaryota > Metazoa > Chordata > Mammalia > Primates > Hominidae > Homo > Homo sapiens. The sequence goes on from NT_187544.1 coordinate 73,126, forward strand.
GATAATGACACCTACTTCGAGGAAAGCTTTTTGTGAATTTTTGATCCACATAAAACAAACACTCGCAAACACATTTTGTATTAAAAATAATTATCCATCAGGACGTTTAAATATTTTTTTAAATCACTGTAGTATTAATACTTAAAGAAAGTCATGATGACGTCTGTTTTCCAGAGACATAGCTTCATGAGAAATATTACCTGTATGTGAAATTTATCCATGTAGAAACAAAGTTGAATTAAAACATTGTTTCTGCAAGTTACACTTTAGATGGGAAGCTTATATTATGCAACAAAAGAAATTAATGAATGTATAAATTAAAATGTGAAAAGTTCAAAGAAAATAAGTGAATTCTGGAAGAGAATATCACAGACAAACTTGACCTAGTATATGGAAGTAAAAGAAATGATACTTCCCCTGAGATCAGGGATTGAGCAGGAGTTAACCAGTGATAGAAGGGAGCAGGAAGAGAATCCTAGATGGAGAGGGAAGTACAACATCCCTTGGAGGGAGGAAAGCCAGAAAGATGGCCAGGGTGGTTGGAGAGGAGAGAGGAAAGTGAAAAGAGATTGGGAATAAAGCTAGAGAGGTTAGCAAAGACCAGATCATGTAATAGCTCCCCACAGACCATGCCAAAGATAAGGGCCATTATTCTAAGAGCAACATAATAATAATTTTAAAAAGGTTATAATTGGGCTGTGAAGTGGGAGAAGAATTAGGGATGTGATAAGATCAGATTTACATTTTGAAAGAGGTAGCTTAACATAGAGAACAGGTTGGTCAGGGACTAGAATAAATTTTGGGAGGCCAGTTACTACAGAAATCCAGGGTAAAGGTGAAGATAAATTGATTAGAACAAAGGTAATGTAGTTAGAGAAGTTAATGAAATTTAGAAGTGATTAGCATGTGAGTTGCCTGAATTTGGTAATTTCTTTGATGTGAGAGGTGATGAATTGGGAGGTGTCATTCATCTTTGATTTCCAGGTTGGGGGTTGAGCAATTGGTTGGATGATGTGGCTGTTTACTTAGATATTGAATACTATAAGAAGGTTTGTGAGGATAAGAGCATGCTTCAGTGTAGGATATACTGACTGCAGAACCTCTGAGGAATGCACATGGAATGTTTTATATGTGGCCAAAGATAAAAGCCTGGAATTTAGGAGAGAGTTAATTGTGGAGTATTAAATTAGTGAAACTATGGAAATGGATGAAATTAGCCTACAGAAAGAGCATAGTGTGGGAAGAGATGGCAAGTAAAAATAAGCCAAGATGGCAACATTTAATGGCTGGAATAAGGAGGATGAGATACCAAAGGCAAAGGAGAAGGAAGTGCCAAATATGTAGGAAGAAAACAAAGAGAACGTAGTTCAGGAACGATGAAGAAAAGAGTGCTGAAAGAAGTGAGTGGGCAGAAGTATGTAGTGACTGAGGAATCAATAAGAGGAGGATTAAAAATATTTTTTAAATTTGGACCAGGCACGGTGGTTTACATGTGTAATCCTAGCATTTTGGGAGTCTGAAGTGGGTGGATCACTGGAGGTCAGGAGTTCAAGAACAGCCTAACCAACATGGTGAAAACTTGTCTCTACTAAAAATAGAAAACATTAGCCGGTTGTGGTGGCATGTGCCTGTAATTCCAGCTACTCAGAAGGCTGAGGCACCAGAATCTCTTGAACCTGGGAGGCGGAGGTTGCTGTAAGCCGAGATTTTGCAACTGCACTCCAGCCTGGGCAACAGAGTGAGACTCCCGTCTCAAAAATATATATTTTTTTTAATTAAAAAATTCAAAATTGGTAATCAGTAGAGACATTTTTGTTGACATATGCCTTTTATCTCTCTCAAGTAAATGTTTAGAAGTAGGATTGCTGGGTCATATGACAAGTGTGTGTTTAACTTTATAAGATATTGCAAGGTTACTTTCCATTGCAGCTGTATTAACCATTCCACCAAAAATACACAAGATTTCCAGGTGCGCCACTTCCTCACAAACACCTGGTACTATGAGTCTTTTTAATTTTTTAATGGCTTTATCGAGGCAAACTTGACTCTGTTAGTCAGTTCTCACACTGCTGTAAAGAACTACCTGAGACTGGGTAATGTATGAAGAAAAAAAGTTTAATTGACTCACAGTTCCACAGGCTATACAGGAAGCATGACTGTGGAGGCCTCAGGAAACTTACAACCATGGCAGAAGGCAAAGGGGAAGCAAGGCATGTCTTCATATGGCCAGCAAGAGAAAGAGGGGGGTGGGAAGAGATGCTACACACTTTTAAACAACCAGATCTTTTGAGAACTCTATCAGAAGAAGAGCAAGGGGGATGTCCACCTTCGTGATTCAGTCACCTCCCACCAGGCCCCACCTCCAACACTTGGGATCACAATTCAATATGAGACTCGGCTGGGGACACGGATCCAAACCATATAATTGACAGACAATAAACTGCACGTATTAAATTGTACAGTTTGATATATTTTGACATAGGTGACCTGTGGAACCACAATTAAGACAAATACATATTCATCACCTCAAAAATTTCTTTTTTGTAACTCCCTCCTCCCACTGCTCCGCTACCTCCACCATCTCTGGTAACAACTAATTTGCTTTCTCTCACTACACAATAGTTTGCATCTTCTAGCATTCTGAATAAAAGGACTATACTTAAATGAAAGCTCCCCTTGTCCATTCTGTATTACTGTGGATAAGACTGTGTACTTAGATTGTAATATTTTACAAACCTGTGTGAAAATTATGGAGGCCCATATGTGAATTAAACTTTGAAGCATTTTCACATTCTCCATGATCCACATAATTTTAAGGTAAAATACTTTTATGTGCAATGAATATGTTGTATTTTTTAAAGCAGATACCTCTTGTTACACATTTTGGTCTTCTGCTATTTTTGGAAATTATAAAGTGGATTATAACAAATACTCTAGTAATGGAAATTTGTACACATCCCAATGTGAAGTGAAAGGCATTCAAATTTTATAATGGTTAAATTATATTTAAAGCTCTTGAAATACATTGCCAACTTCACTCCAGAAGAGTTGGACCAATTTACAATTTTAATGAGAGTGCCAGCTTACCTAAACCCTCATTAACCCTGGTTAGCCATTGTTAAAAAAAAAACAAAAAACAAAAAACAAACAAACAAACAAAAACACCTCTATCCATTGTTAAGTACAATAATAATATTGGTGGTGAAACATTTTCATATTACATTTTTAAGAAAAAAAGCAGATTTCAAAATAGCATGTATGTTATAACCCAATTTCAAAAGATGTTTGAGTATATGTGTGTGTATTCGAAATACATCCATCTAAAGATTCATATGTGTATATATGTGTGTGTATGTGAGTTATGTACAGTGTTTTCAGTGTTATTTCTGGGTGGTGGATAGGTATAAATATGGATAATTTTTGGGTTTAGGTATTTTATGTTCAAGTACTACTGCAATAAACATGTATTGTTTTAGTACTAATTTGAATTTACCTCTTAAAATTGTTTTAATTAAACATCAACTTTAGCCAGACCATATTATTTTATATGAGAATATAAACCATGTTTTGTATTTGTCTGCTGGCTATATATATAGGATCAGAGGAGATATTTGGCTGTTTTATTAGATGGAGAAGAGTAGGTGTGCAGTAAGGAAGTGTAGGTGTGCAGTTAAGAAGAGAATGATGAAGACAGGGAACAGAAAGAATGAATTCAGGAATATTATTTTCCAAATTAGCTGGAGAAATTAGTCATCAAAGACCAACTGCAGCTCTTCCAGCAGCCATTGTCTTTCTATTTTAATGTAACCAAATATTTCACGTAGACTCACAAAACACTTTTTTACTGCTTTTTATTTTAGGTTTCACAGTTGTTGTTTTTTCTGTTCTAAAAATATGTATTATATTAGATTTAACAGGAATAATTTTCTTTGTTAACAATTTCAAAATGTACCATTTTATACTTCAAAAGTTTTATCTCATTCTTTTTTTCAATTAAAGGTGGTGATGGGAAACCTATGTCTCATTAGCGTTTGCACTTTACAGAGCAGTACAAGCTAAATTGTATCAATTAATTTTAAATGGTACAAATTTTAATTAATGTAATTAAAACAGTTTACAACACTATCAGCTTAAGCTTGTGAAGATGATTTGACTTGTAGATTTATAAGTTCTTTATAGATGAAAAGATCTTGGATATATTTTAGAAAAGTTGGGATTTTTCTCTTTATTGTAATTAATATAATAATTTAAAAAGGAACCTCATCTTCATCTTTCATTAAATGTTAATACTGTTTTGGATCATTTGGTGTTATTGAAAAAGGAATCTTTTTAAAGTTTATATATGCCTTGATGTATAATTATCTTGATAAACCTCATAAGATAAAACATAGCTCCTTTTCACTACTTATTCTTATATCAATCCTGTCATCAAATTTTTTACATGTAAGAAGATTAAAAACGGAATTATATTGCCTAAAAGTTAGATTCTCCTTTTATGAATAGAGTAAGTGTGAATGAGTTACAGATTTTTACTTTTCAAAGTTCAAATTGTTTAATAACCTTAAAGACAAAAAAAAGTTTAAATTTATTTAGCATGTTTATTTTCTTTCCAAATTATAACACATGCTCCAATGCCTCAAACAATGATTACATTTTCTGGAGTTAAATGTTTGAACATCTGTAACTAGACTTCACAGGCAAATTTTTCTTATACATTGCTATGGCTAAAATGCTTAGCCTGTAACACAGAACGTAACTAGATAGATATTTATTTAATAATTGAATCATGGCTTTGTAGAGGAATAAATTGAAATACAAAGGAATTAACTCAATCCAAATGTCATTCAACTCAAAATGTAATTTTGTATGTAAAGGTTGTAGATACATATAGTAATACGATTTTTCCCTTTGCATCACCAATTTATCCAGAATACTAAAGGTTGCCCCTTGATTTCTCCTTCAGCTGAACTTCTGGTCATCTAAGTTGTTATAGATTTCCAGTCCTGGTTTCTATCATTATGATAAATAGTTGGTCTTGATATTGATGTGTCAATAATTGTGTCCTGGTTTATTCTCTGAAGTTCATGTTCTACCACAAGAGTATTTCTTATTTATTCGTTCATTCATCATCTAGTTATTCAATAGCTATTATTGACTCCCTATTATGCCAGACACTACAATAGCAGCACTGAGCCATACAGACTCAGTTCTTTCTTTCAAGGTGGTAACATTGTATGAGAGAGAATCCCTCCCTATCTCCTAGCAGAGCTTCAGAAATATTTCAAATATGCTTCACTTGGGCAGTTCTTGGTAATTTTCCCTATACCTTGAATGCCTTGCATGGTCGTCAGAATTCTAAGATGATCTCCAATGACCCCACTCCCTTGTATATCTTGGGCCCTTGAGTTTGAAGTGATGTGTGGATACAGTGGTTATGTTATGCTATATTAAGCAGTTGATTTTAAATAGAGAGTATCTTTGGGTCTCACCTAATCAGGTGAGCCCTTAAAAAGAGAGGGGATTCTTTCTTGTAAAAAAGATTTCAAGCTCCAGAAAGATTCAGTGTCCTACTGCTAACTTTGAAGATGGAGGAAGCCACGTAGCCAGGAACTGCTGGAGCCTGAAAGAATTAATAGCATTCTCCGCCTGACAGCCAGAAAGGAAATGAGGACCTCAATCGTATGACTTCAAGACACGGAATTCTGACAGAATCAGGTAAGCAGGAAAGAGGACTCCAAGTTCCTGAAGAGAATAAAGCCCAGCGGACATCCCGATTTCAGCCTTGGGGTACCCTGAGCAGGGAACCCAGTCTCACTATGGCCAGACTTCTGATCTACATAATTGTGAGATAATAAAGGGGTATTGCGTTACTCTGCTAAATTCATGGTGATGTGCTGACTCATCATTAGAGAACAACACACCTTGGCCAAGCCCAGCCTCAGCGTATTGTAGTAAAATTTATCCTTCATATTATGGCAGTTCTTGGATTGAATTCAGTAGTCTAAAGGACAATTATGAAGAAAAATATTGAGAATAATCTAATATATAACATAAACTTCTGGAAAATATTCTTTAAGAGATCCATAGAAAAGATAGTTAGGATTTTCAAGAATAGACTTGTCTATGGATATTCACTTCATGAGAAATGGAAAATTCTGTCCATATGAAAGCCAATAACACCAATTATTTTAAAAGAGAGGCATCTAAACCAAATGTTAACTTTCTGAGACATTGGTCTTTTCAAAAGAATGTTTACAAACAATGATAAAATAATATAAAAGGGAGTATTAATCTAAAATAGAAAAAGAAAGTTAAGTACCAGAATAATTTTAGGTTAACAAAAATTAAAAAATAAGAGAGGTAAACTTGTGACCCACATTCAGGCTATTTATTTATTTATTCAAAAGCGCTTCTCTAATTCTGTGCATGATGTATCTATAAGCCATAAAACTTTATACTTTGTTTCATCAACTAATGCTGATACATAAGTCATCCAACTGGCTGAATGAGAGGCAAAGTAGCCTTACTTCAAATTACAGTGAAAAACTAATTTGCATACCCCCACTCCTCTTGTTTCTGGATCTTCCTTTTTGTAGGCCAGATTTTTTTCTGTCGCCCAGGCTGGAGTGCAGTGGCGCAATGTGAGCTCACTGCAACCTCTGCTCCCGGGTTCAAGTAATCCTCCTACCTCAGCCTACTGAGTAGCTGGGACTACAGGCATGTATCACCAGGCCTGGCTGTTTTTTCGTGGGTTTTTTTTTTTTCTCCTGTAAAGACGGTTTCTCCATGTTGCTCAGGCTGGTCTTGAACTCCTCACAAAGTGCTGGGATTACAGGCATGAGCCACCATTCAAGCCCTTTTTTTTTTTTTTAGCCAATCTTAACAACTTTTCTTCAACTTTCTATTTGGAAACCTGAAGAAATCCAGTCTCCCTGCTTTAATAACTTCTGATAAAACTCATGGCTTAGGCCTATGAAGCCACTGACACGACTTTATGCCTTGGTTTCATTTGGACCTGTCAATCCTGGTTATTCCAACATACATATACTATTACTTCCTTGTCACTTTTGGCTCCTGTTTGAAATATCAGTTTCCTCTGCTGATACACCTAAATATTCTGAGATTCCTTTCCCTTCCCTTTACAATGTTTGTCCTTTTCAAGAGTGAACAAATGTTAAAACAAGTTCATCCACATTTACTGGATGCTCAGGCTCCACGTGGACCACCCTGGCTTCCAGTAGGTGCGATGTGGCTGTGACGTCGGGCAGAATATCTTTGCTGGGATAAATGAGTAAGACAGAGTCCAGAAAGGCTGCTGGAGATCAGCTTGGAGCCAATAAACAGTTGTGTAACACAGAAGGGAAGAGGACAAGGTCAGGAACTGCTGGGTGGACCCACCCTCTTTTTCAATCTTATTATGGCAGTTGAGCTTCTGAGGAGCACAAATCAGGCAAGTGGAAAAACATAACTGGGTTGAAAGCAGTAGGGAGAAGCTTCAGGGAAGAGTAGATACAGCAGGGCTGAGGAAAATGAAGAGAGGTAGTACCTTCAGTAGCAGTAGTACAGAGGCATCTGGTCACTGAGCTGGGTCCAGCTCTGATGTTTTTCCGGAAAATCATGACTTGCTAATGCATGCCTTTCAATGTGCTCAATATGGACTTCTGAATGATTCAAGGGGTGACTGAGGAGAAACCCTATTTCACTTTTTACTTCAAGATTGGATTATATCTGTTTACTCTGCCTAGGACCTTGTTGTGCATAGTATAAATAATTTCAAGTGGCATAAAATGTATTGGCAGTATTAGATTAATATGTAACTGACTCAGAGCTAGATGCAACTGTCCCAAATACCAATTTGACTTTTACTAAACTATCTCAGTTTCCATAATATTATAAGTTTTTGGTAGTTAAAAAAAGCCTTTGGCCCAATAGACTGGATTTATCTCAAAATGTATTATTGAGCTCTTTCGGGTATTGGCCCAGAAATGTGAACAGCAAGGGAGGCAGTATGGAATCATGGTTCACCATAAAACTCTGGAGTCTAATTTTCTAGGTTTGAATCCTTCCTGTGATAGTTAATAGCTGTGTGAATTTCAGCAAGTCCCATAACCCCTATTGTTCTCAGTTTTCTCATTTGTGAAGTTCAGTTAATAATAATATGTACCTCATGGGGTCCATGTGCCCATCAAATGAAATATTGTGAATAAAATGCTGAGCAAGAAGCCTGGCCCATGGAAAGTAACCAGTTATTGACTAATATTATTATTAAGTGCTTGTGGGAGGCACTTTCCTATTTATCACATGTGATACTCCTGCTCATCTTGAGAGCAGTAGTGCTCTGGCATTACTAAATATTTAATTGAATAGACACTCTTGATTTCATTAATATCCCCAAGTTCTTTTTATGTGCTAAGAGTCTCCATTTAAAATTGATATTCTCATGCTTTATCAAAATTCTCTTGTGGTGAAAAGTTCATATTCATAAGGGAGAGGGAAAGTTGTTTTTAGCTCTTGGGCCAATGAGAAGAATACCCCAATCCCCCATCCCATCTGCCTACAGACTTATTGAAGTGCAGGTGCCAGAGGAAAAGGAATAGCAAACATTTGGCTTGCAACGATAACAATATTAATATAATTTACTAGCTTAACAACTGTTGACTATCACAATCTTTTTCATCTATACCAGTGAAAAATAATTTTTCAGAGTTGTTTTAATTAATTATTTTAAGTACTTTATTGTTATAGGTTGAACATATTTTCAGGTTTGTATTAGATTATTGCCTACCACAATTTAATATGCATAAGAATCAATGAGGGCTTAGGTTCTGCATTTTTATTTTATTTTATTTTATTTTTGAGACAGAGTCTCACTCTGTTGCCCAGGCTAGAGTACAGTGACGTGATCTCGGCTCACCACAACCTCCACCTCCTGGGTTTAAGAGGTTCTCCTGCCTCAACTTCCCGAGTAGCTGGGACTACAAGCATGCGCCACCATACCCGACTAATTTTTGTATTTTTAGTAGAGACAGGGTTTCACTATGTTGGCCAGGCGGGTCTCAAACTCCTGGCCTCAAGATCTGCCCCCGTCGGCCTCCCAAAGTTCTGGGATTACAGGCATGAGCCACCACTCCCGGCCAGGGTCTGCATTTCTAGTTAAGTTTCTGTGCGAGGCCGGTGCTGCTGCTCCTTGGAGCTCACATTGAGAAGCAAAGTATCAGACTTTAACATTTCTTTATTTATGGGAAGTATTTGAGTCAGAAAAAAACACATCCCTGCTCTGCTACCCTTTAATTGTGTCTGTTGAGACATGTGGCTTTCTGAGCTTCAGTATCCTTACCTGCAAAACTAAGATAACAGCACGTGCACATTTTAGACATTAATTCAATAATATAGTGCATCTAATTTTTTCATGTATGTTTCGAATATAAAATCTCTCTTTTCTGCCATTTATTTTGCTAACATTTACTCCAAAACTTTTAAATATGTGGTTTAAGTTTATGGCATACTTCACAATTACATGGTCAACTTTATCAATATTATTACTCATTGTTTTTGTTTTTTAGTCTTGCTTAAAAAGGGTTTCCCTAAGACAATATTATATTTTTTAAATGCATATTTTCTCCCTGTGTTTTAAGGGTTACTGTCTTTTTTTCTTTAGCCTGTAAGTTCTTTATCCTTCTGGAATTAATGTTGTTTAAGAGAGTGAAGTAGGGATTCAATTTATTTTTCTCCCAAAGATTAGCCAGCTATCACAACACTATTTATTGAATAATCTATTTTTTTCTACTGCTTGAAATTTTACCAATTTTTATAAGCCAAATTTTCTATATATATAAAATTCTATTTTGGATCTCTTTATTTTGTTCCACTTTTTGGTACACTTATCTCCAAATCAATACACCTTCATTGTGCTGGCTTTAAATTATGTTTTATATTCAGTAGTTCAAAATTTTTCTTAACATATTTATTTTAGAATTCTCCTAATTCTAAATATGTAGTATTTCACATAAATTTCCAGAGAAATTTTTCTTTCTTTTTGTTTTTTTGAGACAGAGTCCCACTCTGTCACCCAGGCTGGTGTGCAGTGGTGCGATCTCAGCTCACTGCAACCTCTGCCTCCTAGGTTCAATGATTCTGGTGCCTCAGCCTCCTGAGTAGCTGGGATTGGAGGCACCCACCACCATGGCTGGCTAATTTTTGTATTTTTAATAGAGATGGGGTTTCACCATGTTGGCCAGGCTGGTCTTGAACTCGTGACCTTCAGTGATCCGCCCGCCTCAGCCTCCCAAAGTGCTGGGATTACAGGCACGAGCCACCATGCCCATCTCTCTTGTTGAGATAGTTATAGCTTATTTTTATATGTTCTAACAATATCAAGATGTTGTTATCTTAATCTTGAATTCTATTTGTTTTTCATTTTTTGTAGTACTAATGCTAACTTGCTTATATGTTATCTTAAAATAAGCGAGTAGATAGAACTTCTGCAGTTGACCATAAACTGGAAGAATAAATGAATAAAAAGTGATGTATTAATAGTTAAATTTTGGCTAAATTATATCATTAAATTGGAACATAGTAGTCATCATTGCAAATCACATACTTTTTTCTCAAACTGTGTACAGTTCAAACTTCATATAATAAAATTTATGTAGCTACTATTAAAATACAAGCTTGTTTCAGTAATTTTTTGAATTTCATATAGTCTCTGTTCCTTACATATTCAAAGATTTATAGCATCAAAAACTTGCTCCTGCTTTGGTGGTAACATTGGCTATCTTTGGTTGGCACCAGGCTCCTGCAGTACTTTCTGTGATTAACATCAGAGTTATTAACTCAGAAATCAAGTTCTCTACATTTTAATTGGCTCTAGTGAACAAAAGAGCTATAGCACATAGATGGTTGAAGAAAAAAGTATTCAGTATTAGCCATGAATGATTGTTAAGAAGCAGAGATATCTGCTTCTCCAAATTAAATGTAACATGAGCACACTAATTAATTTAGTATAAACTGTGACCTCTTGTGGCAGGATTCTTGACATTGTTTCATTACATTTATGCTCAGTATTCTCTGGCTAATGATTAGTTTAAAGGGATTTGTCACTATCTTAAGACCAATGTGGCAGAAAACAGTTTTCTTGGCAATTTTGACGCATTGTAAGAATAGAGGTAATGAAACTGTTTCACCCTAATCTGTAGAATCTGTAGGGCTTTGGCTTTTGGCATTTATAAAAAGCCTCCTTCTGTTTGTTTAAGGTACAATATTATTTGTACAGTTCAAATGGAACTTTTAATGATGTCTTTGTAATTATTTATTTTTTACTTCATTTGCAAGATAAAAATCTCTTTTCATGTGCCCAAGCAAACCAAAGTTTGTGAAGGGAAACAGCATTCTTGAATTTCTTTTTCTCCTACTTTTTAAAAAACAGAATGGTCTGTTTTGTGGAACAGCAGGTTTTTGTGCCATTTCAGATGGCATTGCATGTGGCAGAATAGACCCCATTCACATTTTCTGTGGGACAATTTGCAAAGGCACCGTGCTGTGAGAACCTTTTTTAAGAGGAGGGTCTGTAGGGGCAGGCAAAGGGCTATACAACACCTGTAGCAAGACACAATCTGTTCAGGACTCAGATCTGATTTTACACTTTGTTTTATTCCCCATAAGTATTCAGCATATGTTCTTTTCTGTGAAAAATAAAGGGCTCCCTCAGATGGTACATATCAAGTGAGCTCAAGGAGGCTAATAGATTAACTCCAATCAATCTAAACACTCCCTCGTGAGATCTTAATGCTGGTTATTCACTACCCTTGCTATGATGATGTTCATTTTATTAGAGCATATAGCTCAATAGCCAGAGAGCACAATCTTTTTACTGTGAAAATCTTTCTGCATGCCTTCTTTTCTCAGGAAGAAAGCAGCAGTAAAATGGTATGCATTCCCTTTACAAGACTCACAGTGAATCTGGAATAACAGAAATAGGTTTTCCATTTTAAATAGCTGAAGTGAATGTCTAATCTTTTCCTGGGCCTGGTAGTACATTCTGTGGACTGGAATTTTTAAATACAGTGTTTCTAAGCCCCAAGGCTCTGCTGTGTTTCTTTCAGTCTCCTTTTTCCCCTTCTATTTCTAAATTAGAGTAGTTGGGTCTGCACAGAGACACGTACAGTAGTGATGCTCTGTGGTTCAAGTCAAAGAATGTTTAGTCTGGATCCCACAGAGGCCCACAATTCTCAGCACACAAACAGATACAGAAAAGGGAGAAAGCAAATGTAGCATCAAAGAAAACTTCTGAATATAGACACCACCAAAAAAAACCAGCTCTGTGTTAGCCCAATAAAGAGAGAAATAACAAGGGTTTTGAATGCTAAAATATAGAGGATTGTATGAAAGGGAGGGAAACATACACAGAGTAGACAAACTGAATAAAAGTATTTATCTTTAAACCACGCAAGTCATGGTAATTAAATTAGGTCAGACTGGTTACAATGCTACAAAAAGCAGGCTGTAACTAATTTCAAAAGGAACAGAAAAGACTTGAAAAGAAAACAGATTGACAGCTCCTGATTTTTTTTTATCCAATCAAAGCAACCCAACATCAAAAAGTGGGAAGAGAAACCTGATTTAGCAGGAAATTTGTCTCATTATAATATGTAAACTTTGCATATATATTCAAGATCAGCTCAGAAATATGGGAAATTATTATTTGCTCTATGTGAAAAACAAAAGTATACACATGAAGTTTGCCATTTGAAGGAAACTAATTGATTATAAAAAGCCTCTGCTCCTTAATAGCTCAACTTCTATTACAAATGCCACAATCAATCTGTATATTGTAACAACTTAGGGGCTTTCTCCCTGTCAGTATATTCTGCATTCAGTTGTTTAATACAAACTCTGAAAGTATTATATGAACAAGAGAACGTTATGAGGCGTTTCTTTCAAATTGTCTTAATAAAGACCACTTGCTGATGCCTATTACAATGACTTTTAAACATAGTTTCAAATATTTACTTTAAATGTAAATGTGCCAAGTTGTAAAATGACATTTGGAACATGAATTTGGGGATGGGAGAAAATAACAAAGGCAGACTTTTATTTGGAGTGCATTCTATATTTTTAAAAGAATGTTTAAAATGTTTCACATTCTTCCTTTCTTTAAAATAATTAGTACAAGATTGGGAAGATTTTTATTAGTTTAATTCTTTTAAGTAGGAAAATCACTGAATACCAAGCAACTAATAATGCAAAGAAACAATAATAAAATAGCTTATTAAAATCTCTTCTTTTTCATCTAATAATTAGCTTCATTTGTCTTTATGTTTCACTAAGGAGATTGGAATTATGGGGAACATTCAGTAGCTATGCAAGAGTAGATGCTGGATGAATAACAGAAGTAATTGTGCTGTCTGATCACATGTTTTAGGCATTTACTCCCTTTTCTGTATGTCGTAGCCCAGCCTGTCTTCAGCTGCTATGTTAACTGGACCTATTTTCCTATTTATATAATGTTGTGCTCCTATATCGGGGGAATCTGCCCCCAACATTTCAATGTAGGTTCTTTCTGTTTTTCCATAAGTGTCAGCCGGCTGAGAAATAAAGAGAAAGAGTACAAAGAGAGGAATTTTATAGCTGGGCTGCCAGGGGTGACATCACATATCGGTAGGTCTGTGATGCCCACCTGAGGCTCAAACTGGCAAGTTTTTTATTAAGGGTTTCAAAAGGGGAAGGGGTGTAAAACAGGGAGTAGGTACAAAGATCACATGCTTCAAAGGGCAAAAAACAGAACAAAGGTCACATGCTTCTGAGGGAATAGGACAAAGGCAAAGCAGAACTACTGATAAGGGTCTATGTTCAGCCATGCATGTATTGTCTTAATAAACATCTTAAACAACAGAAAACAGGGTTCAAGAGCAGGACCCGGTCTGACCACAAATTTACCAGGGTGGAGCTTTTCCCCACCCTAATAAGCCTGAGGGTACTGCAGGAGACCAGGGCATATCTCAGTCCTTATCTCAACCAAATAAGACAGACACTCCCAGAATGGCCATTTATAGACCTCTCCCCAGGAATGCATTCCTTTCCCAGGGTATTAATAGTAATATTCCTTGCTAGGAAAAGAATTTAGTGATATCTCTCCTACTTGCACGTCCGTTTATAGGCTTTCTGCAAGAAGAAAGATATGACTCTTTTTGCCCAACCCCACAGGCAATCAGACCTTACGGTTGTCTTCCCTTGTTCCCTAAAAGTCGCTGTTATTCTGTTGTTTTTCAAGGTGCACTGATTTCATATTGTTCAAACACACATGTTTTACAATCAATTTGTACAGTTAACACAATTATCATAGTGGTCCTGAGCTGATGTACATCCTCAGCTTACGAAGATAACAGGATTAAGAAATTAAAGTAAAGACAGTCGTAAGAAATTATAAAAGTATTATTTGGGAACGGATAAATGTCCATGAAATCTTCACAATTTATGTTCCTCTGCGGCGGCTCCAGCCAGTCCCTCCATTCGGGGTCCTTGACTTCCTGCAACATATTACAATGACTTTTAAACATGGTTTCAAATATTTACTTTAAATGTAAATGTGCCAAGTTGTAAAATGACATTTGGAACATGAATTTGGGGATGGGAGAAAATAACAAAGGGAGACTTTTATTTGGAGTGCATTCTATATTTTTAAAAGAATGTTTAAAATGTTTCACATTCTTCCTTTCTTTCTTTAAAATAATTAGTACAAGATTGGGAAGATTTTTGTTAATTTAATTCTTTTAATTAGGAAAATCACTGAATACCAAGCAACTAATAATGCAAAGAAACAATAATAAAATAGCTTATTAAAATCTCTTCTTTTTCATCTAATAATTAATTTCATTTGTCTTTATGTTTCACTAAGGAGATTGGAATTATGGGGAACATTCAGTAGCTATGCAAGAGTAGATGCTGGATGAATAACAGAAGTAATTGTGCTGTCTGATCACATGTTTTAGGCATTTACTCCCTTTTCTGTATCTCGTAGCCTGGCCTGTCTTCAGCTGCTGTGTTAAATGGACCTATTTTCCTATTTATATAATGTTCTGCTCCTCAGGAATTTTGACTTTAGCAGGAAATGCTAGTGCATACAAATACATATGACATCATAGTTTTATTTAAACATAGTTTCACCTTTCTGATATATTTTTAGAGCATGTTTAGTTCTTCTCTATTTGCTGGAGGCCTTTCCTGAAGTGTGATTTGGGGATTTCACAGGGTGGGCCAGTGGCGATTGCTGTTAATGTCATTGAGTTCAGGGTGGGGTGCATAAATGTCTATACCCAGGAAGCATAGATACCATTGTTACTATCAGAAAAGACTGTGTTGAATATAGGTGAGTCAAAGGGAGGTGAGAAAATCCTGGGTAGGAAACAAGCCATGTTTAAAGTCTACTATGGCTACTGATAGCACCAACATCCATTAACTTAACTCTCACTGATCCCACCCATGCATCCAGAGGCAGCAGTATGGAGAACGTGGAGGAGGCAGACGCTGCTGTACTAACATCTCCACATAGTGCCAATGGTGTGTACCCCAATTCTTCATGAGGGTAGGCATCCCATGGGGTTGTGAAAAATCTTGCCGGTGTTCCTCTGCAGCAGTCTTTCCAGTACCCAGAGATCTTAGCAAGATCTGCTGTGTCTGTTAGGACACTGGAAGAGATATCTGTGTCCTTGTTAGCAGGATGCAGTTGCTAATTTTCCATCTGCCTCACACAACATCACAACCATCTCAAATAACCATTTGAATTTTTACTATGTGCCTCCTTGCTAAGTTTTGTTTTGCAAGGAAAGCAACATAATAGGGGAAGTGCATCAAGGCAGAAAAGGGTGGATTTGCAGAAGGAAGAGGGAGGGCAAGCCAAGGAGAAAGATGTGGAAATTGAAAGAGACTGCATGTTTTAGAAAATAGGCAGAACAAAAGAGCTAATGTGACCCATGCCCCCTTGTGAAGGTCTGCATCTGTGGTAACAAGGTTCTGTTGTTGGGTATTCAACCTTGTAAACGGAGCACCCGAGGGCCCAGAATGGGGGTGGGTGGGCCAGAGGAGAAGGGGAACAATCTCCTTTCCCCACGTCCATGACCTGGGGCTGACAGGAAACCATTGTGCACACCCACAGTTCCAAGTGCTGGAAACAGGAGGCAGTTTCATTGCACAAGCCAGGATACGATGGAAGAAACATTTTCTTTTTAAAGGTAACATTGAAATAAGTTAGTCATTTCACCCTTAGAACTGATGTATTATATATATCTAGACAATATGTACACAGGTAGAATAGTCCTCTAAGAACTGAATGAGAATATGAAGGAGAAATATCCATTTCACAGAAAGCACATTTCTTCATAGTGAAAACTACAGTGTAATTTTCACACTGAGATACACTCCTGTGTTAGGATCTTCAGCAGTTACATTGACAGTATCATTTCTTTAGCCACCCTATTCCATGTTTCCATGGATCTCAGGGTTAATTTTGTGTGACAGTCTAGAATGAGGACTCTGTACACACACACACACACACACACACACACACACACACAGAGGCTGGAATTACTAGCTTTGTGATAATGAGTATTTGGTTCACTCTATAGGAAGACACAATAAGCACTCAATAAATGTTAGCTACTGTGGCAATATGACTCTCAAGAAATTATAACTTAGATTGCGGTGTTCAGCAGTTTGGGATTTTCGGCTGTAATCTTGATATTACATCAGATTACGAATCTTCTCAGATTGGAAGGTGCTTTAAGGCAAGGATTATGTTTTATTTATCCTTTTGTGTCCAGTTTTTAATGGAATACCTGGCACTGAGAAGGGGGTTGAGGGATGGCTGAATAAATGATTGGATGAATGAAGGAAATAAAAGTTGTTTTATGCTGACAAATTTATTTTTCAGTTGAGTGATGGTTATGCTTTTAAAAAATTCAGCAGTATTCTGGAGGAATGGAAGTCTTTAGACACACTCTCAAAAAATAGGCTTGGCTCAAAACCTTCTAAAATCCTCAAATAAACCTTTCAACACATTAGTAGCTGTCATCTTTTTTAATCTAAAACACTCTTGGTATTCTTAATTATTACATTAACTTCCACAATCTCTTGGAATGCTAATCTGGTGTACAATCACTTAGCTTACAGCTTTACCAGGCATTTAGAATTAAATCCCTATAGGTTTCCATCATAGAGTGTGTAAGACATATTTGTTACTTGGATAACTCTCAAAGAATAGGAAACTTGTGACAATGTCCTAGAAGCCTCCTTCAAATTTTTGTGGTCTAAATGTGTATTTTGTTTCTTCGTAGTATTTTCTGTTATTACTGTCATGTTGCTCTAAACAGTAATTCTATATTTAACTCTATTAAATATTAAAGCTGGGGTTCCTAACTTGAGATCAAATATTACTCTAAGTTCTATTTTACATTGATTTCTT
Source organism: Homo sapiens (assembly GCF_000001405.40). NCBI lineage: Eukaryota > Metazoa > Chordata > Mammalia > Primates > Hominidae > Homo > Homo sapiens. Next base: position 90,581 of record NT_187544.1, read on the forward strand.
GGAAACTGGTGCAGATATTTCCAAAGAAATTACATCTTATAATGAATATTGAGTATCCCTACCCAGTGAAAAAAATCCTTTGCTTATTAATAATATGGGAATTCATAGGTGCTATGGTCTGAATGTTTGTGTCTCCTCAAACTTCATATGTTGAAATCCCAAACCCCAAGGGGATGGATTAGGGGGTGAAGCATTTTGGTGGTGATTAGGTCATGGTGTTCAGCGGCATAACAGGGGCAGAACTGTTATGAATGGGATTAGTGCCCTTATATAACAGGTCCCACAGAGACCCTCACCTCTTCCACCATGTGAGGATGCAGTCAGAAGACAGCTGTCCATGAATCAGGAAACAGACCCTAACCAGATTCCAAATTGGCTGGTGCCTTGATCTGGGACTTCCCAGCTTCTTGAACTGTGAGAAATAAATATCTGCTGTTTGTAAGCTATTCAGTTTATGGTATTTTGTAGTAGCAGTGCAAGCAAACTAAGATATAAGAATACCGTAGTGTTTTGAGAGTATGGACAGTGGACTCAGACTGCTGTAGTTATCCTGCCTCTGTCAGTGCTAAATGTCTGTCCTTAGACAAAACAATGATCTAAATTAGACAAAACAATGATCTAAATTATGTTCAATAAATGATATCATTTTAAAATATAACTTTTAATTTAGGTACAGTATACATACAGAAAAGTGCATAGATCCTAAGTGAACACCTTGATACATTTTTACAAATTGAATACATGCATGTAACCAGTAATCAGATAATGAAATAGAGTATCAGCCCCCCCAGAAGCTTCCTTATGTCCTCTTCCAGTAATAAGTCCCTTAGTTTTCTCTTTGTGAACTTTATGTAAATGGAATCATAAAATATGTACACACAGTCCCTGACTTACCATGGTTTGACTTATGGCTTTTCTACTTTATGTTGGTGCAAAAGTGATATACATTCAGTAGAAGCTGTACTTGACATTTTGAATTTTGATATTTTCTCAGACTAGTGATATGTGGTACAATATTCCTTTGCAATACTGAGCAGTGGCAATGAGCTGCAGTTCCAAGTCTGCCACATGATTAGGGTAAATAGATACTTGACTTCCTCTCAAAGAACATCACACCTGCTAAACTATCAAGTGTAGGATGCTCCAGTGCCTTCTACCAGCTGTTCTTGAGACTCCTCAGAAGAGAGACTGATGACACTGTCTCTGCAGCTTTCTCATCATCCAGAAATTAATTTTAGTTCCATGCTTCAAACATTCTTCAGGCACAGTGAGCTTTCGGCTGTGTACGTTAATGGTGAGAACCCACACTACTATCCTGTTTTTCACTTTCAGTATGTTATTTAATATATTACATGAGATATTCAACAGTCTGTTATAAAATAGGCTTTGTATTGTATGCTTTTGCCCAACTGTAGGCTACTCTAAGTGTTCTGAGCATGTTTAAAGTAGGCTAAGCTAAGCTATGATGTTCAGTAGGTTAGGCGTATTAACTGCAGTTTCAACTTGTGATATTTCCAACTTATGATGGGTTTATCAGGATGTAACCCAATCATAAGTTGGAGGAATATCTATGCTCTGTTTTAGCTAACATCTTTTAATCAGTTCATGTGTGTTAGTTCATTTTGTTATGTGGACGTGTAGTTCATTTAATTTCATTGCTGTATATAATTTCACACATGCATATACTAGAAATTATTATGTATTCTACTTTGATAAATGGTTGTTTCCAGTTTTTTAGCCACTATAAATGGCACTGCTATGAACCTTCTTATACATGTCATTTGGTTCATTTGTCTATGCATTTCTGTCAAATATATACTTAGAAGTGGAATTACTGAATCATAAGGAATGCATATATTTAGATTTTATCAGTTTTCCAAAATGGTTAAACCAGTTTAAATCTCACCAGCAATCAATGAGAGTTCTAGTTACTCCATATCTTTGCCAACATTTGATTTTGTTTGACTTTTTCAGTTTTGATAATTTGGTAAATGTGCAAGGGTTTCTTTGTGGTTTGAATTCTCATTTTTCAGCGGTCTTTTTTAAAAAGTTGAGCACTTTTTCATATACTTATTGGACATTTGAATATTCTTTTTTTTTCTTTTTTTTTTAATTATACTTTAAGTTTTAGGGTACATGTGCACATTGTGCAGGTTAGTTACATATGTATACATGTGCCATGCTGGTGCACTGCACCCACTAACTCGTCATCTAGCATTAGGTATATCTCCAAATGCTATCCCTCCCCCCTCCCCCCACCCCACAACAGTCCCCAGAGTGTGATATTCCCCTTCCTGTGTCCATGTGATCTCATTGTTCAATTCCCACCTATGAGTGAGAATATGTGGTGTTTGGTTTTTTGTTCTTGTGATAGTTTACTGAGAATTATGTTTTCCAACTTCATCCATGTCCCTACAAAGGACATGAACTCATCATTTTTTATGGCTGCATAGTATTCCATGGTGTATATGTGCCACATTTTCTTAATCCAGTCTATCATTGTTGGACATTTGGGTTGGTTCCAAGTCTTTGCTATCGTGAATAATGCCGCAATAAACATACGTGTGCATGTGTCTTTATAGCAGCATGATTTATAATCCTTTGGGTATATACCCAGTAATGGGATGGCTGGGTCAAATGGTATTTCCAGTTCTAGATCCCTGAGGAATCGCCACACTGACTTCCACAATGGTTGAACTAGTTTACAGTCCCACCAACAGTGTAAAAAGTGTTCCTATTTCTCCACATCCTCTCCAGCACCTGTTGTTTCCTGACTTTTTAATGATTGCCATTCTAACTGGTGTGAGATGGTATCTCATTGTGGTTTTGATTTGCATTTCTCTGATGGCCAGTGATGATGAGCATTTTTTCATGTGTTTTTTGGCTGCATAAATGTCTTCTTTTGGGAAGTGTCTGTTCATGTCCTTCACCCACTTTTTGATGGGGTTGTTTGTTTTTTTCTTGTAAATTTGTTTGAGTTCTTTGTAGATTCTGGATATTAGCCCTTTGTCAGATAAGTAGGTTGCGAAAATTTTCTCCCATTTTGTAGGTTGCCTGTTCACTCTGATGGTAGTTTCTTTTGCTGGGCAGAAGCCCTTGAGTTTAATTAGATCCCATTTGTCCATTTTGGCTTTTGTTGCCATGGATTTTGGTGTTTTAGACATGAAGTCCTTGCCCATGCCTATGTCCTGAATGGTAATGCCTAGGTTTTCTTCCAGGGTTTTTATGGTTTTAGGTCTAACGTTTAAGTCTTTAATCCATCTTGAATTGATTTTTGTATAAGGTGTAAGGAAGGGATCCAGTTTCAGCTTTCTACATATGGCTAGCCAGTTTTCCCAGCACCATTTATTAAATAGGGAATCCTTTCCCCATTGCTTGTTTTTCTCAGGTTTGTCAAAGATCACATAGTTGTAGATATGCGGCGTTATTTCTGAGGGCTCTGTTCTGTTCCATTGATCTATATCTCTGTTTTGGTACCAGTACCATGCTGTTTTGATTACTGTAGCCTTGTAGTATAGTTTGAAGTCAGGTACTGTGATGCCTCCAGCTTTGTTCTTTTGGCTTAGGATTGACTTGGTGATGCGGGCTCTTTTTTGGTTCCATATGAACTTTAAAGTAGTTTTTTCCAATTCTGTGAAGAAAGGCATTGGTAGCTTGATGGGGATGGCATTGAATCTGTAAATTACCTTGGGCAGTATGGCCATTTTCGCGATATTGATTCTTCCTACCCATGAGCATGGAATGTTCTTCCATTTGTTTGTATCCTCTTTTATTTCCTTGAGCAGTGGTTTGTAGTTCTCCTTGAAGAGGTCCTTCACATCCCTTGTAAGTTGGATTCCTAGGTATTTCATTCTCTTTGAAGCAATTGTGAATGGGAGTTCATTCATAATTTGGCTCTCTGTTTGTCTGTTGTTGGTGTATAAGAATGCCTGTGATTTTTGTACATTGATTTTGTATCCTGAGACTTTGCTGAAGTTGCTTATCAGCTTAAGGAGATTTTGGGCTGAGATGATGGGGTTTTCTAGATATACAATCATGTCGTCTACAAACAGGGACAATTTGACTTCCTCTTTTCCTAATTGAATACCCTTTATTTCCTTCTCCTGCCTAATTGCCCTGGCCAGAACTTCCAACACTATGTTGAATAGGAGTGGTGAGAGAGGGCATCCCTGTCTTGTGCCAGTTTTCAAAGGGAATGCTTCCAGTTTTTGCCCATTCAGTATGATATTGGCTGTGGGTTTGTCATAGATAGCTCTTATTATTTTGAAATATGTCCCATAATACCTAATTTATTGAGAGTTTTTAGCATGAAGCGTTGTTGAATTTTGTCAAAGGCTTTTTCTGCATCTATTGAGATAATCATGTGGTTTTTGTCTTTGGCTCTGTTTATATGCTGGATTACATTTATTGATTTGCATATATTGAACCAGCCTTGCATCCCAGGGATGAAGCCCACTTGATCATGGTGGATAAGCTTTTTGATGTGCTGCTGGATTCGGTTTGCCAGTATTTTATTGAGGATTTTTGCATCAATGTTCATCAAGGATATTTGTCTAAAATTCTCTTTTTTTGTTGTGTCTCTGCCTGGCTTTGGCATCAGAATGATGCTGGCCTCATAAATTGAGTCAGGGAGGATTCCCTCTTTTTCTATTGATTGGAATAGTTTCAGAAGGAATGGTACCAGTTCCTCCTTGTACCTCTGGTAGAATTCGGCTGTGAATCCATCTGGTCCTGGACTCTTTTTGGTTGGTAAGCTATTGATTATTGCCACAATTTCAGATCCTGTTATTGGTCTATTCAGAGATTCAACTTCTTCCTGGTTTAGTCTTGGGAGGGTGTATGTGTCAAGGAATTTATCCATTTCTTCTAGATTTTCTAGTTTATTTGCATAGAGGTGTTTGTAGTATTCTCTGATGGTAGTTTGTATTTCTGTGGGATTGGTGGTGATATCCCCTTTATCATTTTTTATTGCGTCTTTTGATTCTTCTCTCTTTTTTTCTTTATTAGTCTTGCTAGTGGTCTATCTATTTTGTTGATCCTTTCAAAAAACCAGCTCCTGGATTCATTAATTTTTTGAAGGGTTTTTTGTGTCTCTATTTCCTTCAGTTCTGCTCTGATTTTAGTTATTTCTTGGCTTCTGCTAGCTTTTGAATGTGTTTGCTCTTGCTTTTCTAGTTCTTTTAATTGTGATGTTAGGGTGTCAATTTTGGATCTTTCCTGCTTTCTCTTGTGGGCATTTAGTGCTATAAATTTCCCTCTACACACTGCTTTGAATGCGTCCCAGAGATTCTGGTATGTTGTGTCTTTGTTCTCATTGGTTTCAAAGAACATCTTTATTTCTGCCTTCATTTCATTATGTACCCAGTAGTCATTCAGGAGCAGGTTGTTCAGTTTCCATGTAGTTGAGCTGTTTTGAGTGAGATTCTTAATCCTGAGTTCTAGTTTGATTGCACTGTGGTCTGAGAGATAGTTTGTTATAATTTCTGTTCTTTTACATTTGCTGAGGAGAGCTTTACTTCCAAGTATGTGGTCAATTTTGGAATAGGTGTGGTGTGGTGCTGAAAAACATGTATATTCCGTTGATTTGGGGTGGAGAGTTCTGTAGATGTCTATTACGTCCGCTTGGTGCAGAGCTGAGTTCAATTCCTGGGTATCCTTGTTGACTTTCTGTCTGATTGATCTGTCTAATGTTGACAGTGGGGTGTTAAAGTCTCCCATTATTAATGTGTGGGAGTCTAAGTCTCTTTGTAGGTCACTCAGGACTTGCTTTATGAATCTGGGTGCTCCTGTATTGGGTGCATATATATTTAGGATAGTTAGCTCTTCTTGTTGAATTGATCCCTTACCATTATGTAATGGCCTTCTTTGTCTCTTTTGATCTTTGTTGATTTAAAGTCTGTTTTATCAGAGACTCGGATTGCAACCCCTGCCTTTTTTCGTTTTCCATTTGCTTGGTAGATCTTCCTCCATCCTTTTATTTTGAGCCTATGTGTGTATCTTCACGTGAGATGGGTTTCCTGAATACAGCACACTGATGGGTCTTGACTCTTTATCCAGTTTGCCAGTCTGTGTCTTTTAATTGGAGCATTTAGTCCATTTACATTTAAAGTTAATATTGTTATGTGTGAATTTGATCCTGTCATTATGATGTTAGCTGGTTATTTTGCTCGTTAGTTGATGCAGTTTCTTCCTAGTCTTGATGGTGTTTACATTTTGGCATGACTTTGCAGCTGTTGGTACCGGTTGTTCCTTTCCATGTTTAGCGCTTCCTTCAGGAGCTCTTTTAGGGCAAGCCTGGTGGTGACAAAATCTCTCAGCATTTGCTTGTCTGTAAAGTATTTTATTTCTCCTTCACTTATGACGCTTAGTTTGGCTGGATATGAAATTCTGGGTTGAAAATTCTTTTCTTTAAGAATGTTGAATATTGGCCCCCACTCTCTTCTGGCTTGTAGGGTTTCTGCCGAGAGATCCGCTGTCAGTCTGATGGGCTTCCCTTTGAGGGTAACCCAACCTTTCTCTCTGGCTGCCCTTAACATTTTTTTCCTTCATTTCAACTTTGGTGAATCTGACAATTATGTGTCTTGGAGTTGCTCTTCTCGAGGAGTATCTTTGTGGCGTTCTCTGTATTTCCTGAATCTGAACGTTGGCCTGCCTTGCTAGATTGGGGAAGTTCTCCTGGATAATATCCTGCAGAGTGTTTTCCAACTTGGTTCCATTCTCCACATCACTTTCAGGTACACCAATCAGACGTAGATTTGGTCTTTTCACATAGTCCCATATTTCTTGGAGGCTTTGCTCATTTCTTTTTATTCTTTTTTCTCTAAACTTCCCTTCTCGCTTCATTTCATTCATTTCATCTTCCATTGCTGATACCCTTTCTTCCAGTTGATGGCATCGGCTCCTGAGGCTTCTGCATTCTTCATGTAGTTCTCGAGCCTTGGTTTTCAGCTCCATCAGCTCCTTTAAGCACTTCTGTGTATTGGTTATTCTAGTTATACATTCTTCTAAATTTTTTTCAAAGTTTTCAACTTCTTTGCCTTTGGTTTGAATGTCCTCCCGTAGCTCAGAGTAATTTGATCGTCTGAAGCCTTTTTCTCCCAGCTCTTCAAAGTCATTCTCCATCCAGCTTTGTTCCATTGCTGGTGAGGAACTGTGTTCCTTTGGAGGAGGAGACGTGCTCTGCTTTTTAGAGTTTCCAGTTTTTCTGTTCTGTTTTTTCCCCATCTTTGTGGTTTTATCTACTTTTGGTCTTTGATGATGGTGATTTACAGATGGGTTTTTGGTGTGGATGTCCTTTCTGTTTGTTAGTTTTCCTTCTAACAGACAGGACCCTCAGCTGCAGGTCTGTTGGAGTACCCTGCCGTGTGAGGTGTCAGTGTGCCGCTGCTGGGGGGTGCCTCCCAGTTAGGTTGCTCAGGGGTCAGGGTTCAGGGGTCAGGGGTCATGGACCCACTTGAGGAGGCAGTCTGCCCGTTCTCAGATCTCCAGCTGCGTGCTGGGAGAACCACTGCTCTCTTCAAAGCTGTCAGACATGGACATTTAAGTCTGCAGAGGTTACTGCTGTCTTTTTGTTTGTCTGTGCCCTGCCCCCAGAGGTGGAGCCTACAGAGGCAGGCAGGCCTCCTTGTGCTGTGGTGGGCTCCGCCCAGTTCGAGCTTCCCTGCGGCTTTGTTTACCTAAGCAAGCCTGGGCAATGGCTGGCGCCCCTCCCCCAGCCTCGCTGCCGCCTTGCAGTTTGATCTCAGACTGCTGTGCTAGCAGTCAGCGAGACTCCGTGGGCTTAGGACCCTCCAAGCCAGGTGTGGGATATAATCTCGTGGTGCGCCGTTTTTTAAGCCCATCAGAAAAGCGCAGTATTCGGGTGGGAGTGACCCGATTTTCCAGGTGCCGTCCGTCACCCCTTTCTTTGACTCGGAAAGGGAACTCCCTGACCCCTTGCACTTCCCAAGTGAGGCAATGCCTCGCCCTGCTTCTGCTCGCGCACGGTGCACGCACCCACTGACCTGCGCCCACTGTCTGGCACTCCCTAGTGAGATGAACCCGGTACCTCAGATGGAAATGCAGAAATCACTGTCTTCTGCGTCGCTCATGCTGGGAACTGTAGACCGGAGCTGTTCCTATTCAGCCATCTTGGCTCCTCCCCTTGAATATTCTTTGAAGAGCTTATTTAATTTTTTGCTCATATTTTCAGTAAGTACAGTGTTGCCTTTTTAAATTGCTGTGTGGGACTTCATTATAAATTCTGAATACAAATCCTTTGATGTATAGATTGCAATCATCTTCTCTTACTACATGATTTGCCTTTAGACTCTCTTTACAGTGTATTTTGATGAACTGAAGTATTCAGTTTTAAAGTAGCCCAATTAATCAATTGTTATGTTATATATATATACTCATATATATGTGTATATATACGTATATATACACATATATATACGTATATATACACTAATATATGTATATATATACTAAAATATGTATATACGTATATATATGTGTGTGTGCACATGCGTGTGTGTGTGCGTGCGCACACAAATTTAAATCTAGAACCCCTCTGGAGTTGACTTGTAATAGTCAAAAAAATTTTTTTCCCAAGAAGGGTATTTACATGACCTAGTACAGGTTATTGAAAAAAATTTCCTCTGTACAACAGTATTGTTATTGTCATAAATCAAGGGATATCAATCAGGATTCAATCAGAGAAGCACCATCACTAGAAGATAAGCAAATACATAAAGGTTTATTAAATGGATTTGCCCATGTGCAATTGTGGAGGCTGGTTGAACAGCCTATATGAGGTTATTGCTTCTGTGTCTGGTTCCAGATAGCCAAACAGAAAGGAAATATGGTTATAAAGTAGGGAAAGTATTGTCAACTGGACCCTATGAGGATGAGATAAAACCTGAACAGATAAACTGAAACTCAGGTGAGTCTCATTACTTCCAAAACCCCACCTGCAGTGATGGATCTGCAAAAGTGGATGTGCTTCCTATGGAGCTAACACGTCTAGTCCAGGGCTCAGGGAAACCGAAGGAGGAACTGCTGCAGCTGCAGGTCCAGCTGCTGCCCTGAACCAATAAGCGAGCCACCAGGTAAGTGACAGTGTGAATGAGCTACAACAGCACCTGTACTCTGTACAGACTTTGGGAATATGTTTTTAAAAATGTGCCTGCTGCTTCACCTCCAGGCTCCAAATCTCATGCCAAATGTCTCTTGTTGTCCACATCGATAAGGAAATACACAGGAAAGGGAATGTTAAGAAACATAATTCCAGTTTAGTTATGATACAGTATAAATCCACCTTTTCTTGTATATGTGGGTCTCCTTCAGAACTCCCTGTTCTTCTCTATTGGTTTATTCATCTATTCTTGTCACAAATCACTTTTTAACTAATACAGCTTATAATGGGACTTGATATTTGATAATGTAAATCCTCCAGATATTTTCTTCCACAGATTGCTTTAAATGGGTAACTTTTGCATTTGGATTTAAATTTTAACATCAACTTGTCAATTTCCAAACAGACTAATGGGATTTGAGATTGCATTAAATTTATATATCATTTGGAGCATAACTGAAAAATTTACATTATTGGAACTTTTAATCTAAGAACATGATTTCTTCTTTCATTTTATTAGGTCATCTTTAATGTCTTCATGTTTTTTAATTTTCAGAGTAAAACTGGCATACATTTTATTAGCTGTATGTTTTTTAATGTTATTTGAAGTATTATCTTTAAAAATAATCCATTTTCTATTTTTAAATGATAGGTATGTATAAATATAATTTAATTTGTTGTCATATTCAAAAATCTTGCTAAGCTTACTTTTTTGTTACTGTTTTCTGAATACTTTTTGACGTTTCTACATAAAAAATCATTTTAAAAACTTAGCTAATAATTACAGATTTAGTTCTCTTTTTTCATTCACATGAGTATTATTTCTTTTACTTGTTTTCTTGTACTAGCTAGGAACTCAGCTAAATGTTGAACAGAAATGGCCATAATTCACCATTTAAATAATTTACCATTAAGTCTAATGTTTATTGTATGATTTTGTAGATACTCTATCAGGTTAAGGAACCTTCCTTCTAGTCCTATGTTGAGAAGAATTTTGCTATGATGGATATCATGGTAAAATTCCACTGAAACTGCTTTCCATTGTACTTTATGAAAATTAGAAGTTGCTAATGGAGATGCCTAGAAATCATATTCCCTCCCATTTTAAGTTCTAGCAAACAGACCTTCTTTATAGCCTAAGAACATTACTTACTCTTCTACAAAACCTATTTCTTTCTTGGATACAAACCTATAATGACAACCTTTTTGGTTCCATACACTCATCAATTTATTATCAAGAATGGAAAGAAAGTGAAGTTTCATTAAAATAGTTTTTGACACACAGAGAAAGATTAGGGATCTTTGAGGAGGTGTAGATACCATAGGTGTAAAAATTCTTGCAGATTCTGTTCTCATGTGTTCTGATGGAGCTGGGGCTCTTTGGGGAAAAGAGCAGTTTATTTAAAATAGAGTATATGGCATATTGTTTAAAAGCTTGGGCTCTGGAGCCAAACTCCTTGATTTCAAATGTCTGCTCTGCCACTTGTGGATTACATTATACTGGTAATTTAAATTTCAGTTTTCTCATTTGCTAAGAGGGTGAATGTAACAATTTCTACCTTATGGGATTGTAGCAGGATTAAAAGAGTTTGTATGTAATATACAAACAACAGTGTCTGCAAAGATGGGAGCAATAGACACTGGGAACTACTAGAAGGGGAAGGAGGAAGCTGGGCAAGGTTTGAAAAACTAGCCATCAGGTACTGTGCTCACCACCTGGGTGGCAGATCATTCATATATCAAACCTCAGCAACACACAATTTACCAATGTAACCAACCTGCACATGTACCCCTTGTACCTAAAGTAAAAGTAAAAAAACAAACAAACAAAAAAAAAGTGTTTGGGATATAAGAATCACTCAGCCAGGCACAATGGCTCATACCTGTAATCCCAGCACTTTGGGAGGTTGAGGCGGGCAGATCACCTAGGGTCAGGAGTTTGAGATCAGCCTGGCTAACATGGTGAAACCCTGTCTCTACTAAAAATACAAAAATTAGCCAGGGGTGGTGGTGCATGCATGTAATCCCAGCTACTCAAGAGGCTGAGGCAGGAGAATTGCTTGAACCCAGGAGGCGGAGGTTGCAGTGAGCCGAGATCGCACTACTGCACTCCAAACTGGGTGGAAGAGTGAGACTCTCTATCAAAAAAAAAAAAAAAAAAAAAAAAAAAAAAAAAAATTCACCCAAACAAGTGTTCTTCATCATCATTAAAGCAGCAGTATCACCACATGTTTTCCTGGCAACAGCTGGCCTGTTTTCCACTGATAAGAGGTAAAAAAGGCATTGAAACAGTGAAAGAGGATGATGAAAATTGAATACTTACATGAAATACAATTTTTAGTGAAAAGTAGCACTCAATGTTATACAACTATAGACAAGACTATAAGGTCACAATATTTTTACTTATATCATTAGAATAGCTTATTAACATTCTTATTTCAAACAATGTTCTTTTTATTCTGTTGTCAGCTTTTAGTCAAATATAATCCATGAGCTCAATAGATATCAACAAAATGAACCATTTTTAAATTTTTATTTTATTTATTTATGTTTTTGAGTTTTCGCTCTTGTTGCCCAGGCTAGAGTGCAATGGTGCAATCTCGGCTCACCACAACCTCCACCTCCCTGGTTCAAGCCATTCTCCTGCCTCAGCCTCCCGAGTAGCTGGGATTACAGGTATGTGCCACCACGCCCGCCTAATTTTGTATTTTTAGTAGAGATGGGGTTTCTCACTGTTGGTCAGGCTGGTCTTGAACTCCCGACCTCAGGTGATCCACCTGCCTCGGCCTCCAAAAGTGCCGGGATTACAGGCGTGAACCACGGTGCCTGGCCAAAATGAACCATTTTTTTTTACCACAAGCATTTTACTATTGCTGCATATGATTATTTTGTAGGAAAGATGCTAGCTTTCCACCAAAGATTAATACATTTATTCTATTGCATAGTTTTATTGCTGAGAAGTGGCTGTCCAGCCAGGGACTTACTTTTCTCAGCTCTCCCCACCTTGAATCTGGAGGCAAGGGGGCACGTGAATAATTCTCCAATGTAGAATGATGAGTGGAAGTGATGTGTGGATAAGAAGCAAATGTGTCTTCTCTCAATCTCTATTTTATTCACTGGCTGAAGAAAGAGGAGGCAGCCAGAAGATGAAGAGAGATCTGTTGCCTGACAGATCACCATGAAGTCCTCTGAATCAGAAAAAAAAAAAAAAAAAGGGGGATGGTGATGTGAGCAGGAAGTATACTACTTTGTTAAGCCTCTGTGACTTCAGGGTTTTTCAGTATAGCAGCTACATTCTTCAATATATGATTCAATACCCTGAAGAATCAAAACTGAGAAGAGAATAACGTATTTATTAAGGTAAGAGATGTAGGGAAGACACATTTGAGTCCATTTTGCTTTAGATGTCTTTATTGATCTGAGTTTTTCAAGCAAATAAAATACTTATTTAAATGATGAGTCTCTGGCCATAATCTTTTTTTTTTTTTTTTTTTTTTTTTTGACATGGAGTTTCACTCTGTTGCCCAGGCTGGAGTGCAGTTGCGCAATCTCAGCTCACTCCAACCTCCACCTCCCAGGTTCAAGCGATTCTTGTGCTCAGCCTCCTGAGTAGCTGGGATTACAGGCGCCCGCCAGCACACCTGGATAATTTTCATATTTCTAGTAGAGGTGGATTTTCACTGGGTTGGCCAGTCTGGTCTTGAACTCCTGACCTTAAGTGATCCACCGCCTTGTCCTCTCAAAATGCTGGGATTACAGGCGTGAGCTACCACGCCCGGTCTCTGGCCATAATCTTCGCAGTTATATTTTACAACTGATTTGGAAGTGGTAAAGTCTGCTTGCAAACTTTTGTAACATGGTCGGAAGGCGGATGTGGAAAAGCCATTCCTTTTGTTGAGAGCTTTGTATTTGAATAATTCTATCTAGAAGTTGGCTGAAGAGAGAGATAAGACTAAAGGGCATGGGCAAATAACAGAAGATTATTTAAATGCCTTCTCAGAGTTTGGGTTCATTGATGTAGAAGGCATCTTTTGTTGAGATCAGTTATGGCTTTGGGTGGGCGAGTAGTTTGTGCAGGGCACCTAGACAACAAGGGATCTGAGCTTCCTGCAAGAAATATGAGAGGGAGGAAGTGCTGCTATACAGACATAGCGTGGGAAGAGTAAAAAAAAAAAAAGAAAAAAAGAAAAGGCCGGGCGCCGTGGCTTACGCCTGTAATCCCAGCGCTTTGGGAGGCCGAGGCGGGTAGATCACGAGGTCAGGAGATCGAGACGACGGTGAAACCCCGTCTCTACTAAAAATACAAAAAAATTAGCCGGGCGCCGTGGCGGGCGCCTGTAGTCCCAGCTACTCGGGAGGCTGAGGCAGGAGAATGGCGTGAACCCGGGAGGCGGAGCTTGCAGTGAGCCCAGATCGTGCCACTGCACTCCAGCCTGGGCGCAGAGCGAGACTCCGTCTCAAAAAAATAAAACCAAAAAATAAAAAAAAGAGAAAAATCTATTTTTCCTGCCATGATGGAATTTTGAAAAACAGAAATGTCTAAAGCAGAAGTTTGAAGGTTTTGTTAGTGAGGCATGCAATGTGAAAAAAGTGTGCATGTTCATGCTTGTGTAAGTATTTTAAAGAAACGAATTGTATTTGTCATTTAATTTGCTTCTAAAGCAGACATAGCATGTACCAGAGGCTGGGAAGGGTAGTGGGGGTGAGGAGGAAGGGTAGTGGGGGTGGGGAGGAATTATGGTTACTGGATTTAAAAAAATGGTTAGAAATAATAAGACCTAGTATTTGATAGCACAGTAGGGGAACTATAGTCATTAATAATTAAGTTGTACATTTAGAAATAACTAAAAGAGTACACTAGGATTGTTTGTAATACAAAGGACAAATTTGTATTACAAATTTGTAATGGATGCTTCATTTACCATTATATGATTACTATGCATTGCTTGCATGCCTGTGTCAAAGTATCTCATGTACCTCATAAATATATACACCTACCATGTGCCTGCAAAAGTTAAAAATAAAAAAACAGATATAACATGTATGGACACAGGGACAGAATGATTCAGGGGCTGTAATAGTGTTCCATTGTGTACATATCCTACATTTTCTTTGTCCACTCATCTGTTGGTGTCACTTAGGTGATTCCATACATTAGTGATTATGAATAATACTTGCCCTTTTCTTTCATTTATTTTTATATTTTTCTTTCTTTTCCTTTCCTTTTTTATTCCTAGAAGTATTTTAATTTTAAAATATAAATTATGATTGTGTTAATTACCTTCATTTTGATGCCTTTTTTGATTAATATTTTTGGGGATTGAAGAAATGAGTATTTTTTAATGTATCTAACATCAAGGCTCTTATTTGTTTCTCCATTATTAGTGACAAAATAGTGACCAAAATCAACCTTGATCAGTGAAACAATTGTGTAGCCCCCAATCCTTCCCTATCCTACACAACATGAAAGCTACATCTTTGTGTCAGCTCTCTAAGTTGGATGGAAGAAGCTTCTGATAAAATTGATCAGCATGGAATTTTGTAAAATTTAACTATTTTTTGGCCTGGAAATTAAACTGATGTATTACCAGAAAAGTTGATTTTTGTTAAGCAGTGTTTTATGCTATCCTATTTAAAATTATTCAGGGAGTCCATTCTGACAAAGCAGGCATCTGAAAAATTTTTCTGGAAATTGAAAATGCTTAAGAAATAACTGTTATAGAAACTAAAACTAAAAATAATTTTGGATTATTAAATTGAAGATAACATCTATCAAGTACTTCATTATCTTTCTCTGACACCAGATATATATTTTTCTTTATTGCTGGAATAGACCTTTGGCTGTCCTTTGTGGCCTTCTCAATCAAATCCATCCTATTTTGTTGGGCAGTATTTGTGTCATGCATTTACATTTTAAAAGTTGTAGTCTAGGCAGTGTGACTTTCAAACAATTGACAAACCTATTCCCATGTCAAACCCTCTGCTTAATCAGCAGTCACTTTATTCCCACTCTTTTCAAAGGCACTGGAACTGCCTGAAAAGCTAAGGGACAATTCAAGAGAGTGTGCTGGGCTGGTCCCCTCCAGTGTCTGTCTATTCAAATTCACCCTTGTAATCTAGTGAAGAAGGGGTGTGCTTCAACCGCACCGTCACAGCAATAAGGAGCAGACGTCATAAAATAAAAGAAGAAACGTTTCCTTCCAGAAGGAGGAGTTGATTTTCCTTATTCTGTGTATGTGAGTGTGTGGCAGTTGCAAGGTTGAGAATAAAGACTAAAGTTAGAGAAAGGCAACATTTTACATTAGCAGCACATGGTCTTACAAGACCTTCTTGTTTGGCAAACATACCCTGAATGGTTTTATTGAGCATTATGTTGCCCTACCCATCAATTGTTTGACTCTGATGAACATTTTCTACCATGTCGATTTAAATATGCATTGAATATCATTCAGAGTCCTGTCCCTGATGCTTAGGTGCTTAGGCATAAAACTATGAAAATATTATTGATAAAAGATGAGTTTTTATTTGTCTGTTAGTTTTACCAGGGAGCATTGGATACTAGTAAGCTTAAGTCCCTTGGACCTCTGAAAAAATACTTTAGTTTTTACTGTGTTTGGGAATTCAGATTTGATCATAAGTAAATATAACAGGGAACTGAAATACAAATATTTTTAACTATAAAACGTTCGATATGATAAATTTATTTGACTATGTCAATTTCTTAAAAAAATTTTGAATGGATAGGAAGTGTAATGTGGAACTGAAACTTGAGAAAGATGCATGCTTTCATGACAAGTAATTTTGTGACCATTTAAATTTCCAATTTAACAGTGTTTTAAGTAGACTTAATTATAAGATGGCTATGTTAGAAATGTGAATATTGACATATCAGAGAAGTTAATGTTTATGTTAGAGAATACAAAGCGAAGGATGACAGTACTTCTCTTGATGTATTCCCAACCACTAACTCTGAGAGCCAGATTTAACTGTCACTTCAACGTTGTCCACCTTGGGAAAAGCATAATTTTAGAGTTAGACAAACACATTTGAGCTTTATTTGGGTCAGTAGCTGTGTGACCAGGAGAAATTATTTTACAACCTTGGAGCTTCAATTTTCATTATTAATACATACTATCTCCACCCCCACCCAGGCTGTCTTGACTTCTACATGGTAGCTATGAGTAGTTTTCCCTTAAATCGTTGTCTAAATATATTAAACACTTGAGAATAAGAATAAAGTCATTCATATTTCAAAGGTATTTCATTATGATTGGGTAGGTATATTTTGTCATATTTGATGTACTTATCCTTTCTTAAAAATGCCACAATGAGAATTTCACTATTTCCCCTGGAGTAACAGATTTAGGGGTTCTCATTGTTTCTTGATTAATTTTTGCAAATAGTTTTGCCTGCTACCTTGGAATTTAGGTTGAATTTAAAACCCACTGTTGTTTGGCTTGTGGAGTTTTGGGTTCATTTGTTCTGTATATCGGATGTGGACTCTTTGGGGTAACTTGGCTTCATTTCTGCTCTCTTTTTATTAACATCTGGGGGTTTTCAAAATAGCTGGAGTTCAAATTAAGTTTGGTGTTAGGAAACAGGGAACCCCAGAAGAGACTAAGGGAAAGAGGTACTGGGTACTGCCTCTAGATGAGATGTATACATGAAACAGATTTCAATGAAATGCATGAAATCACTGCAAATTTTTTAAAATTAAGAATTCATTGCCTACCATGTGTTAGGCACTAGCTCAGATTCTCAGGGCATGGACAGTTTGGGGAAGCTGACATTACCGAAAAGGATGTTGCTACTTTAATAACATTTGGAACTTACATTAATGTGTTTCTAAACATTCCTTTTAATAATCCTTCCACCAGGGTTCTCAACTCCTGGGCAGCAGACTGGTACCTGTGGCCTATTAGGAACTGGGCTGCATAGCAGGAGGTTAGTGGCAGGCAAGCAGCATTACCACCTGAGCTCTGTCTCCTGTCAGATCAGTGGGGCCATAAATTCTCATAGGAGCAAGCACCCTATTGTGAACTGTGCATGCGAGGGATCCAGGATGCAAGTTCTTTATGAGAGTCTAATGCCTGATGATTTGAGGTGGAAGAGTTTAATCCAGAAACCACCCCCAGCCCCCTACCCACCATCCTTGGAAAAATAGTCTTCCAGGAAATCATTTCTTGGTGCCAAAAAGGTTGGGAACCACTGCCTTAGATACATGTCCTTCTGACTCATTCCTTTTGGCACAACTATTTTTGATCCCAGAGACTCCTTATCCCCAAATTCAAGTCATGGTGTTTTCACTTTTTTATGTCTGTAATTACCCAGTAAGCGTCATTGTTGACATCCTCATATCGGGGGCCTCCAGGCAATCCCTGAGCCTTAGAGCTAACCATCCTGTCTCTCCCTCTTGTTTCCCTTGCTCCAGGATTGCTCCCTTTCACTCCATCTTTGAGCCTTAATGAGGGCACAGTTTAGGGGAACTAGGAGATTGGATTGCCATCTATGTTGGTTTAAGGACTAGGGATGCCATTTACATTTATCACTCTAATAGTACAAAGCAATATTTTTATGGTGTGGATATGTTTCACTCAAATTAAATCTAAATAGTGTAACCAGCATACCTATATTGTTAAAATAGGCTGTAGGAAGTCCACCAAAATGTTCTACTTTAGATTTTCCCAACACAAAGATGAATATGTATGCATTAGTGGATGTTAGATTTTTTGTGTGTGAGATTTTGCTTTTTTTTTTTTAAGATGTTTTTCCTCTTCTTCAGGCTGATAGTATTTTACCAAAAATTTAAATAGTCAAATATTAAAAGTGATATTCTAGATCATCTTTCTCCAAGTGATGTAGTTTGCATGTATTAGTACTGCTTTTCAACTTTTCCTTATGTGGTGTAAGGTTATAAAAATGCCTTCCAGTTGATTTCTTAGGTAGCAGCAGAATCTGTTTTCTCAAACAGTAGCGTGGGGATTCTTGATATACCGCCTTCTAGAGGTACTGAAAGCAACTGGATCAATGTGCTGAAATCTGGATTTATTCACAAGCTCGTTAGAGGCTGAGTCACAGCCATACATGTCAGTTCAAGTCATTGTTTCTTTTGTCTAAATCGTTGTTGAGCCACATCCATCTGTATGTGTAACACTAATTTGGTAACAACTTCTTTATACTAAGCCAGAATTCATTTTACCTGCTGGTTTTATTTTAAATGTAGGAGCTGTATTAAATAACATTCAAATAAGTAATCGAAATTTAACTCAAAGAATATGGAATGAAAAGTCAAACAGGCATATTGAGAACAAATTAGAATCTGGCACCTGACAATGATTAACAGGTTGAACAGATTAGACTAGACCTAAATCTCTGTAAATAAAATGAAAGACAGAAAACCTTTTTATTAAACAATTTAATAGGCCTATGAGATTTGAAAAAAAGTTGATTTCTTTACCCATCCTCAGTCAATGTTGAGATAGGCTGGAAGATTTTGAACAGGGCATAGAAAAAAGGAAACAAATTTAGTCAACTATCCCCAGATTTCATCTGATTAAAACCAGACATCTGCATATTTGAAAGCACCAAATTATTGATGAATATCCACTCAATATTGATATTTGATATCATATATATTACTAATAACTAAAACATAATAGGTTTCATTTATGAAATCTTTGTGAAAGTGTGTCTATCATTATAGTTAAAAATCAAGAAGTTAGTTAAATCTACTGTCTAAATAATTTTGATCAAAATATTTGACATTTTATCCAGTGCCAGCATTCATGTAGTATGGCAAATTACCCATTTCTTTATTTTATTTTACCATATGATAAAATAAGCCTGAATTTGTGGAGGCATTTTTCAAGAAACCGTCTCTTCCAAGAAAGAATTTGGATATCAAAAAGTAGAGATATTAGTGTCATTATATACACAGTTTGCTGAACTCTACAGTTATTTGTAAAATTTGTTTGGATACACCAATTTTAGATTACTTACAACATAAAAGGTCTATTTTTTATGTCATATTGAATATACAATGGTCCAAAATAGATTCAGACAGACAACAACTTTGGCTGCCATTTTAGAAACCAAATGTTTTAGCATAATACACTGTTCTGTGTATATACAGATGGAAACTCAAACTTTGAAAAGAGAACTTTCTTCAAATACTGGTGCTTTCTTAGATGAGCCAGCTTCTGAAAGAAAACAGCTCTCTAATCTTTTATCACCTTGTCTCTTAAATACATCAAGGACATCTATTCAGAATTAGTTGCCGAGGTGGGTGCAAAGAAAGCCTATTAATATGTGTAGACTGCCCATTCCCAGAATAAACCACATTTCCTCAATATATTACTTTCATGGCATTTTACAATATTTTCAAGTTTAGTTGGACATAATTCCAGAGATATGACAAGTCAATAGGTGGAAAAAAAAACTAAATAAAATAAACTTGACCTTCAAAACATGCAATTCTTCTTCTGAACAAATCTCTCTTATTGGTGATCTGTCTCAAATTATATGTATATAAAAATATTCTGGGTGAGTAACATGACCAAAACATAGTGTCTGGTTGAGATAAAAGTCTTCTTTGAATATTGTTTGTAACTTGAAGACTTTGCTCACTCATTGGATAGATTCCATTAAACACAGCAGGGAGCAATATATAGTGTGGATTATATGACTTTGCCTAATGGACATGCAAATACATATTTTTCACATACAATATACAAACATTTCAGCAGGACAATTGGGTAATGGAGCCAAAAAATCAGAAAACTGGCAAATGTACAATGGATTACTATGGCTTTATTCCACACTTCAAATATAATTAACATTTAATTCATCTGATGCCTTTTTCTAATTGGAGACACATTGGTAGATGGGGCATTTGAGTTCACAAACACGTTCAATTACTTACACGTTAACCACATTTCACAAACTTCCAACTTGTGAAGTATTTTCTAAAGAAAACTTTATATAGTAGAACTTGCAGATCTGACCAAATGAAATTTTTATCTTTTTTTTTGCCGTTGCTTCTCAAATTATGCTCACCTGAAGTCAGATTTCATATTTGTTTCATCCTTATTTGGCAATTGAAATGTAATTTCAATTGTCAGAAATGTAGAAACTAAAAATTTAATTTATTTTGCCAAAGTGTTCTGGGTTAACATAAAACTTTCAATAATGTTCCCTCAATGTTAAAACTAATTACCTTCTATTTGATTATATCAAATAAACTACAGTAAATAATAAAAAAGTCATGATTTCCATAGCTTTACAGTTTACAAAGGGCATTTATTCATTCACTTAACCAATAAATGTGTGTTGATCAACTACAATGTGCCATACATTTTTCTAGGCTCAGGAAATAAAATGGAGAAGAGAAAATATTAGTCTCTGCTCTCATGAAACTTTCAGTCTGGGCTCATAAAATCCTCTCACATTCCTGTGAAATGAATACCTCTAAAGTCTCCTACTAATCTCCCACCCCAAAGTAACTACTATCTGAACTTTGTGTTATAATTTATATCATCCAATTGTATTTCTAAACAATATACTTTTCAGCATTACCTGTCTTTATGTAAATGAAATCCTACTACAAGTTTTCATTGGTGGCTTGGTATTTTTTTTCATTCATAATTATTTTTAAATATTTTTCCATATTGCTTTAAATAGCCATAGTTGTCTATTTTCACTGCTGCATAATATGAATATACATCAACTTATAAATCAGTTCTGTTACTAGTGGCTATTTGTGAATTCCAAGTGCTCCATGTCTTTACCAACTCTTAAAAGTATTAGACATAACTCTTTGACAAAATGGTGAATTAGAAAGATAGATCATTTATAGTTTTAACTAGCATTTCCATAGTTATGAATGAAGTTAACATCTTAACAAACTTATTGGTCGTTTGTGTTTTAAGACTTGTAATTTGTCCTATTTTTAATGTTTTTATTTTTCATTTTGATTCATACACATTCTGTAATATACATTTTCTAAATACATATCTTTTATAAGTAATATGTGTTTTCTAAATATTTTCTCTCAGCTATCACTTGACTTTCCACCATCTTTATTGAAACATATTTCTATAAGTTTTTGATAATCAAAAGTATTTAAAGTTAATCTAGTCAAATTTACAGATATTTTTATGTATGATTTTTATATTGTGCCATGTTTAAGAAATTTTCTTTACCCCATAGTTAAAACAATCTTCTCCTATATTCTGTTTTAAAAGTTTTAAATCCTTAGTCTATCTGAAAAGAGCTTTGTGTGAGTTGCTTTGTAGGTATCCAATCTCCCAGTGCAGAACCCATTGTCCAAGTATGAATTTATTGAATAATTCTGCTTTGCCAGTCCCATTGTATGCCTAATTTCTCATTTTACCCTGTTGGATAGGATAACATATTCAAAGTTTAATAAAAGGGTTGATAGCAGCATCATTAACATGTTCATGATATCAAAAAGGAGCTTTCAATAATTCATCATGTACATTTGCTGTAGCTTATTTTAGACACATCATATATTCAGAAAGTTCCCTTTTATTTTCAGTTTGGCAAAAGTTTTTTTTAACCAACCTCTTTTTCTATGTTTATTTTATATATATTCGTAGATTTTACAATGTTCAACTTATTCTGTAGTCCTGAGATAAAGTGATTCATGGTTTTATTCATTTTATATATATAGCAAAATTCAGTTTATTAGTAATTGGTTTAGAATTGTTATATCTGTGTTCATAAATGAGATTGTCCTAAAGTTCTTGTTTTGTCCTCAGAAATTGAGTTGTGCAGTGTTTTCACTTCTTCTATTCTTTGGAAGTGGTTATATATGATCAATACTATGCTTTTTATTTTTAAATTTTGAATGTCTTGAGGACTTACCACTTAAGTTTTCTGAGACTGACCTTTGTTGCATATGTGGTAATTTCTTCTGATATGTCTTCCAGTTTGCCAATTCTTGTTGTGGATACATGTTCAAATGTGGCTAACAAGTTTTTAATTTTAGTCATGGTATTATTAATTCCAACATTTAGTTATTTTTTAAATCTTTTTTGCACTTTCTTCTCCTCAGCAGATACTTCCATTTGCTATTTATTTTTTTGAACCTGGTAAGCATAGTTTTTTATTTTAATTTTTTATTATAGATTCAGGGTACCTGTGCAGGTTTGTTACATGGGTACATTGCATAAAAGCATAGTTGTTTTTAATATTTTTGTCTGATAAGTCTAATATTTGATGTCTTTGCAGATTTGTTTCTGTTATTTTTCTCTTCTGGCGTCTTTCACATTGTCTTACTTCTTTGTGAGCATGTTATCTTCTGCTGCTTGCTAGTCATTGCCTAGAGAAAATTATTTTCAAGGTTCATCAAGGTCTAAGATAGATGTGACTTCCTTCAAAGAGAGTTCGCTTTTGTTTATTCCAGTTTCTTGGGGAAGTTAAGTTTTGGGGCAATCACTTGTACAACTTTAGGTAATGTGGTCCATTCAGCATTAACATAATTAATGGATAAATTCATGTAAGACTAATGTGTGGCAACAAGTTTGCAGAAAACTTTTTCCCTTTCTTTTAAATTTTTTGTCTTTATCACTTCTACTCACCTCAAGACTTCTTTGTATGACATTCCTCAGTGTTGGCAGGAAAAGGAAAAAGTTTGGATCATGTATAACCTTTTGAGTAGGAGGTTAATTATAAGAAAGTTTTTATAGTATTTCCCCAGCATGGTGCTAAACATCTAAAAGTACTTAACAAATATTAGAAAACATCATTATGCTGGTAATCCTAAATAAACATTTTTTTTGTAAGCATTCAGGTTCACTACTAGTTCTACAAAGAGAACACGTTTTGTTTAGAACACTTTCCGATGGATAATTTATTATGAACTGTGAATAAGTTTGCAGTATGTATAAGGCAAGAAATTAGTTGTTTGGAATCAATGGTGCATAAGATCAAGCCTTTAAGAAACTTTCTATTATATTTAGCTGGGGAGCAAAGATATGTTGAAATAGCTGACGGAGCTCATGCATTGCAAGTTTCTGCCTTCTACCCTCACCCCACATTGCTGTGCCTGGCTCCCAGACACCAAGATTATTTTAATCATTAAGGAAGAAATATTCAGAAAGTGAACCACATAGGCTCTTTATATACACAAATATAAAGCAAAGTCCTTCTCTGACATCAGGGATGTGGTTCAGCAGAGGTAAAATGGCTTCAGGGTAAGAATGTATAAAGTTGGCAGCGTGAGAAAGTCTAGCTCTGCAGGCTGGGTTGCCTTGGAAGTGATGAGCTAACATGAACAGCAAGAGAAAGATCAGGAAGGGATGGTTTGATCTTTGTATCTTTTATATCTGTTCTCATTTTTAATTTAATTCAATCCATGGATAACAAAATTACGTGAATTTATTTTGTTTATAAGTGTTTTTAAACGTTATAGAAGCAGTGCTTTGGGAAGCCAAAGCAGGAGGATTGCTTGAGCCCAGGAGTTCAAGACCAGCCTGGGCTACATAGTGAGCTCCCATCTCTACAAAACAAACAAGAAAAATATCACAGAGAATGCTAATTTTCATGTGACCTTCTGCACTCCCAGTCAATTCTAGTGTCCTTTCTGCAGGTAAACCCAGTATAAATTCAGAGTTTAGGCAAATTGTGTGTGTGTGTGTGTGTGTGTGTGTGTATGTGTATGTGTATGTGTATGTGATTTTATGTATCTTTAGAAGTCGTATTGCACGTGTATTTCCTGTGTGAGGTAGTTTGTTCAATGGTGGGGAGAGCAGGGTCAGACTACCTGTGTAACCTCAGGCAAGTTACTTAACTTCTTTATGACCCACCTGTTACTTGGGGATAATAATAGGGCCAATGAAATCAGTGTTGTTCTTTGAAAAGATTAATAAAGTAGAAAAGTTATTTTAAGAGCAAGAAAGAAATAGAAAGTCCAAATATGAGGAAAAACAACAGGGAATATTTATAGATACAGTCAAGTTTTAAACATAATAAGATAACATTGTAAATATAATTTTATGCCATTAAATTGGAGAATTTATGTGAAATGACAATTTTTCCAGAAAAGTAGAAATGACAAAAAATGACTGAGAAGGAAATACAAGAGGTAAATTGAAAATAAAAAAATAAGTTTTCAATTATATTTAATACATATACTGGAAAGTACCTAAATTATAAAAGAAATGCTTACTTAATTTTTACAAAATGAATATACCCATGAAATACAGTGACTGAAGAGTATGAACAACCTGGAAACCTTCGCTCTTCCTTTCAATCACCAATTCCCCAAGATAATTTATATCCTGGCTTTTTATGCCAAAGATAAGTTTTGCCTGTTTTTGAACTTTACATAAATGGACTCATACAGTCTGTTCTCATTTTTGCCCGGCTTCTTTGGCTCAACATTGTTTGTGAGACTCATCTCTGGTGTTGGCTGTAGTTTGGTTTGCCCATGCTCATTACTCTAAAATGTTCTATTCTATGCATACACTACAATTTATTTATTCAACTGTCTATGAACATTTTGCTGATTTTTGCTATATTTTTCAATGCTTCTCTACACATTCTTGTGCATGTTTTTTAAGGAAAAATTTGTGCAATTTTGTAGATTTATAACCACAAAGATAATTAAAGGATATATATATATATACACACACACACAGACATATATATATATACATATGTGTGTGTATATGTATATGTATATATATATATGTATGTATGTATAAATATATCTCTTCAGCTTGAGTAGGTATTGGCAAAACCTCTACCAGAATTGTAGTACCAATTTATACCAACAGCAATAGGTGAAGGATTGTTTACTCTTTGTTTTTATTTTCCCAAGCCTGCAATGTAAGCTCTGTGAAGATAGAGAGACCTTTTACTCTATTCACTACTATATTTTCAGTCAGTTTTTTAATTAAGTAAATCAATTGGATATTGGCATGTAAGCATTTATTTTTTTAACATGGTAGTGCAATCAATTTATTTACCTTTGTTTGAACATCGTTTTCTTTTCCACAGCTCTATTTCTTTACCTACAGGATTCCTCTGACAACAATTGTACTCCCTTCCTTGATCACTCTCAGTCAGGGATATTTCTCCCCAAGAGACATTACAACAAAGCAGATGCAATTACACCACAGTCCTAAAGAAGAGCCTTGGCTGGCCAGTTTTGCTGCTCCCAAAAGAATCAATTAGTAGGCCAGAGGGGGCTTTAATTTAATACTGCAACTACTTTGGGAGGTTGTCTATCCATCTATGCATTTATATATACACTTAACCAATATTTATTGAACAATTACTGTGTGCCAGGACTGTGCTACGTGAGCAAAATCAGTTCCAGCCTCTGTCCTCATGGGGCTTATGTTTGGTGACGTATACTGATATTTTACAAATAATCAGATAAAAATGCAATGCAAAATCACAAATGGGACAAATCCCACAAAGCAGAGGAATTTAGATCCATGAGGAAAAATTGAAAATATTTTCTTAGTCAAGAAAGCCATAAATAATTTTCAGAGAAGCGGCAAGTGAACAGAGGTTTAGAAAGTTAAGCACATGGAGAGAAACAGGAAAAATATTTCAGGTCTGGGGAAACACAAGTACAAAATCCTGTGAAGAGCAAAGATGACTGAAACCAGCAACTGTAAGAAAACCAGGGTAATTGGCCTGGAGAAAGCCAGGGAACACAGGAACAAACAGCCTGAACAAAAAATTAAATTTTGCCTTTTTAAAAAAAAGTATATCTTTATTCATTAGCTGGGTGTGGGGGCACACACTTTGTAGTCCTAGCTACTCAGGAGCCTGAAGCAGGAAGATCGCTTCAAGCCTAGGAGTTCAAGGTTGCAGTGAGCTATGATGGTGCCACTCTACTTCAACCTGGGTGACAGAGTGAGACCCTGTTTCAAAAAGAAAAAAAATAGTAAATCTTTATTCTATGTGCAACTAGAAGACATGGAATGTTTTAAAAGTGTGTGCTGTTGGGCAGGCCAACATGATGTGGTGCATGATCAGATTTGCGTTTAGAGAAGATCACTTTGGCTGAAAGGTTGAGAGTTTCGAAGCAAGAGGCAAGGTGGAAGCAGGAAGACAGACTTAAGGGCTTATGGCAGTGGTCCACGAAGGAGGGTCACTGGGTTCTATTTGGGTGGTGGTGGTGGTGATGAAGATATGCAAAAAACACTCAAGGGAGATTTGTAGGATGATATTGGCAAGCCTGATGATGGGTTGTTAAAGTGGGAAAGAATGGAGAGGGGTCAAAGACAGTATCTGGATTTCTGGCAATGACAACTAGTTGGATGCTCACGCCATTCATTGGGAGAAAAATGGTAGAGGAAGATCCTGAGGTCTGGTTTAATCAGGTAGCCATGGGAAACAGGAGGCTGTTCTAGGCAGAGGGAATGACATGACTAAGACAGTGAAGGGTCATGTGTCTTTAGTGATGATTAGCAAGTAACAAACTTGATCCAAGTGTAAGATTTGTACAGCCTAATGTTGGAATTTAAGGAGCAATGTTAAAGCACATCCCTCACTCCATTAAAAAGTACAAATTGGTTAGGAAATAGAGGAGTCAGAGAGAGAACCACATTTACAGTATTAGTGCAAGGGCTAGGTAAAAGTGTTTGGCTTAGAAAAAGCAACCAAAGGGGCATCCTAATAATTCACCTACAAATTGAACTTGCCCCTTGTTAAAACTGCACCCTGTCTGGTGTATGGAAGCAGAGCCTCTTTCGTTAATTTACTCTCAGCAAGAAAAGACAGGATACTTCATGCTCCTTGCAGGTATGCAAATTCCAAGGTTTCCAATTAGATAAGTCATTTTGCATCTTCAGAAAGGAGTGAGAGTATGAAGGAGAGAAGCAGAGGCTGCCATTCTCAAACTTTTTTTCTTACTTAATTAATATGCTCCCAGGGAACATGGGAGAGAAAGAGGGTATTTTCCTTACAAATAATTCTGGCAATGATGTCAGCATGTGAATATTGTAGAGCTAGAAAGGGTTCTAGTTATGGAACTAGTGTAGAATTCAAGTAGGGCCAGATTACTGAGCACCATAATGCCAGGCTATGATATTAGTGTTTTACTTAGAGGAGATTGAAGAAAAGTTACAGGGTTTTGAATGGAGAAGTGGCAAAGCGAAAGCACTGTAAACAATAACTTAGATGACCAAGAGGACTTGGCAAATACTGACCACAGAGGACCCTCAGCTTTGATGCGATTATTATGAACTGATATGGCCTGAATATTGGTGTGACACATTTAGGTTTACTTTGTTTTACTTTTTTAAGGTTTCCAAGATATATTTCACTGCCAGAGTGACCAAAATGTTCTCTAATCACTACAAAATATATGTGATTTAGTCTACTAAGGAGACTTATGCTTTAAGCAAATGTAAATAACTACCTTGTAAATATTATAATTTTTAAATAAACACTTTTTAAAGGGCACATATAGTCCCCTATAAAGATAAGCATTCCTCTCTTTTGCTTTTTTTTTTTTCCCTTTCTTTTTGAGTGCCATGCTTTTGGCTAACATCTCTGGCCATATTAGAGTCTATCCATATGATTTTTTTCTGTATCGGCATGCTTTCAAAATTACTCAGTGTTGAAAATTTGAAGTCAAGCTTATTATTTCCTCAAAGAGTTTATTTCTAAAAGTGAGATGGAGTTGTCAGAAAAAAAATTACTAAATGACTAATCAATGAGTTTTAAAATATGAAATAAAATATTAACTATTGTACTATTTGAATGAAAATCAAGCTTAAATTACATAGAAAGTTAAGCCAGTTGATGAGCTTCATATATTTAGTGGTAAAAGTCTTACATGTCAGAAGCTCCAAAGCCAATAGAATATTCTTGATTATTTTTTGTAAAAACTCTGTACTTTTCCTGTAATGAATGATTTATTTTTTACTGCTGGCAATTTAGCAATTATTAACTTCTCCGTAATTAATGAACAGAAATGGAATCACATGTGAGAGTCTTAATTTTTATTATATGAAGTTTTTCATGTTTTCAAAAACAATTGTCTAATTTTTTCTCCAAGGATTAATAATTAATAGGTAATTTTCGACATTGCTGTGTTTCTATCTCTTGAGATTATTAGATGTGAATAACTTTTTATAAAATAATTCTCTGGGGTGGAATTTCTCATTCTTTGTAGCTGAATCAACCTGTCCCAAGAGAGTTGTGAATTTGGGAACTACAAGAACTGAGTCCAGACTTGTTCAGCTTGGAAGTGTTTGCGTGTTTACCATTACAGGTGACTTCACTACCTCTTGACCTTCCGTTGAGCCAGTCTGAGCCTGGTGATTTCAACCTGAAAGAGCCTTACCATTTTAGGGTTAGCATTAAAAACGAGGGAAAGAAATATTTTTCTTATATTCTCCACATGTAATACAGTAAATAGTAATCAAATCAAAGCAAAATGTGAGTGATGAGTCACATTCAGAGGACCTTCTCTATCTTCTCTGGATGCCCTGATATTCTGGATTTCTTTTGAATTCAATAGTATGATGATGTTAATTCTGAGCGCTTGCATTCTACAGTGTAAGTTCCAGCCAGTGACTAGAGTTACAGTTTACTGAAATGATCACTGGTGGCAAAGCCTTCTACTGTTCACTTTTTAAAAGGTAGGCTTGATCAGTGATTAGTGCTATTCCTGCCAAAAATGTGCACAATTAGGAGTTAAGTAAAGGAGTCAGCTGTAAGCACAATTACCAAATAGTGAGGTCACAGCTGGGCTTTTGTTGATCCCACTTTCCCTCTGTAGATGTTTTAAAGGCATCATACTGTGTTTCAGTGTAACATATAGAGCCTATAACTTGAAGAACATCTTGTTTGCTTGTTAGTTGTTTCCTAGGAGTTACATTTTGTTGTTGGAATAGGCTACAGCAATTTGAAGAGCATTATTACTTAGCCAATTTAATCTGCATTTGGCTAGAACACACTTCAAGTTCTGTGGATAGAGTCCAATTGTTAGGCAAATTTAGATTGCTGCCTTATTATAGTTGAGGCAAAGTTGTACAAAAAAGGAGATAGCAGCTGTTTAGATGAAATAAGAATTTAACTGGATTTGAACCATGTTGAAGGCCAGACAAGTTTAGGCAAAAGCACAGTTTTGAACACTATTTCTACGATATTAAAACTTGTGAATGCATTGATATACATCCATTTATTCCTGGAGTATCTAAAGCCCTAACAAAGCCCTGTTAATGCCCATATTACAGTTCCAAATAGAATTGGGCTGACAATAATGTAAAACAAATAAACAAGATTTCTTAACTAAGAAATAAAATATAGTGGAAGTAATCTGCAATGAATTATTAACTATAACAATAACAACAAAAGCAAAGATAATTATTATAAAGACAATACTATGTATCCCATTTAATAGAATATTTCTATTTCTGTATTTCTTTAATTTGAGATTTTTCAAAGACATCTACACCTGAAAAGAAAGAGCAAGAATAGTTTCCAGAGTCTCTATTCAAAGCTTCTTTGAAGAGCTCAACAATTGCTTGTACGTTACTTTTTCTTTATATAGCAAAGATGGAGGCAAAAAACAAATTACAAAAAGTAAAATATTCAAAATGTCTCCACTGAAAAGAATTGGAAAACTTTTCAAAAATAGTTTCAGTTTTGCCTGAGATCACACCTCCCCTGATTATATCAATATTGTGCGTGTGTGTGTGTGTGTGTGAGACTTTGAGTTCTTGTAGCCTTAGGAAACCATTGAAATTGCATTTAGGAAAATGGGAAATTTTAGTGGAGATTTTAATTCAATTTAACAAATATTTGCAGAATCTGCATAATGTGCAAAGCCATATATTCCAGGATTATCTTTTCATCATAATGTATTAAACTTTCTAAATAGATTTCTTAGAGATTAAAATTTGATTTAGAAATACTTGGTTTAATACCATAGGTAAAGATATCTGAAATTCTGTAAAATTCAATAAATAAGCATTTTCATCATCCTCCACTATGTTCATAAAATTTATAACAAGAGATGCCCAGAATAATATTTGTAGAAAATAGGCTGAAATGTATTATATAGAAAATTATGGCATTATGCTAAGCAGGTACATTCAGGATGAAAGAATTAGAAATTTCTTTTAAACATTATGATGCAATTGATCCCTTATCTCAACTTTTTAGATACATGGAATAGTATATATATAAACAAAGAAACTTTTTCTTTAGTGATGGTGGAAGCTGCATTTTCTTCTTTGCTAGTTGGCATTCCTGTGAAAGCAGATTTTGTTGGGACGTTTATGCCCCACAGAGATTCTGTTAAACTTGGTTCTAGAACATCCCGTTTCACAGCATCGACTACTCTAGGCCCCTTCCCACAATTTAATTCTTAAGATTATTTTCTCTAGAAAATTACTATTTTTATCAAGGTAATAAATGTGCAGTTTACTTTTGTAAAGTCGAATCCTAGTCCTCTGAGGCCAGCACTTTCCGTTTTTAATTCCTTCGTAACTCTAAACCAGATACTACAGTCTCTGACTTATAGGCTCTAGAAATTGCCCTTTGACAATGGACATGTACTTGGGAACCACTTTCCTGTCAATTGCTCTTCCTCACCTCTCCAGCAGTTCAGAACTTGTAGCATAATCTTTACCTAAGCCTGTAGTCAGCAAATACTGTGATTAATTAGCTATTATTCATTACAGACCCAGGTTACATGCTATGATTGTATTGCCTTTTAAAAATACAACTTTCTTCCTTGAGTTCAATAATTATTTCACTCTATATCAGTTTAATTTTCTTTGTACCTATTTGCTCAGTTTTGTTCAAATACTACTACTTATCTTACATTTGCCCCAAAATAGTTTTCCCATTTGTTTATAAAATTTTAAACTATCTTTCAGTTAAGTGTTTTCTCGCCTTGGAGATGTCTCTCCTACAGCCTGGCTTCTTCCTCCTCTGATTTGGTTACTCTCTGGACAGTGTGAAGCTGTTACTTTGTTCTGCTCCATTTTTGATTGCTGCTTCCACAGATAGTGTGCATGTAAGATGCATTTTTTAAGATCTTGAATATCTGAAAATGAATATATTTTACCTCATACGTGAATTGTAACGATGATTTCATTCAAAAGGCTTTTTTGTTATTGTTGTTTATTGAGTTCCTACTGTGTACCATGCACTATTCTAGGAACTGAAGATAACGAGATTAAGTAGGACAAAATGAATGCAAACTAGGTTCTTATCTAAAAAGAGCTTTTATTTTGGGGTTAGAGGTATATAGATAAATAACAACAACAACATGTTATTCATGTATCATATATATGTAGATGTATGTCAACATATCTATCTGCACACATACACATACATGTATATAAAGAAAAAGTATGGTAAGGAAGTTAGTGATGTTGGAGTGTTATTTTCTATAGAAAAATCTCAGAAGGTCTAGAAAATTTGAGCAGAGATCAAAAATAAATGAAAGATTGAACCATGTTTGTATCTCAGGGGAGAGCATTCCAGACAGAGTGAAAACACCTTACTTCTGCTCCTCTCAGTTAAGACCTCCCATAAATCTCGGGCCTTTAACTTTTGCCTCAGACTCCGTTTTTAGGGAATCCAGATTAATGATAATTAGACATACATTTTTAGGCTGGAAATAATCTTTCCTCAGAACTTTAAAATGATTGCTTCGCCGGGTGCGGTTGCTCACACCTGTAATCCTAGCACTTTGGGAGGCTGAGGCGGGCAGATCGCGAGGTCAGGAGATCGAGACCATCCTGGCTAACACGATGAAACCCCGTCTCCACTAAAAATACAAAAAATTAGCCAGGCGTGGTGGCGGGCGCCTGTAGTCCCAGCTACTCGGGAGGCTGAGGCAGGAGAATGGTGTGAACCCAGGAGGCGGAGCTTTCAGTGAGTCGATATCTCGCCACTGCACTCCAGCCTGGGCGACACAGTGAGACCCCATCTCAAAAAAAAAAAAAAAAAGAAAAAGAAAAATGATTGCTTCACTGTTTCCTATCATCCACTGAGATGTGTAAGATTTAGAGAAGAAGGAAAAGCAAATACAAGATGTTTCTTATTGAGCACATCTAAAAGAAAACAGGGGCTCAAGAGGAGAGCTGCCCAAGCAAATAGAGTAGCTCACTCACATGCAACATCACTGCAGAGATGGAAATGGAACTGCTGAATTTTAGTATTATTCATTGGAGGAGGAGGTCTCCTTCCTCTCTTCCATCTCTCAAATTTCAGCCAACAGATGTCAATTCTGGTTATTTAGGACTGAAATAGGCCAGGCGCGGTGGCTCACGCCTGCAATCCCAGCACTTTGGGAGGCCGAGGTGGGCGGATCACGAGGTCAGGAGATTGAGACCATTCTGGCTAACACAGTGAAACCCCATCTCTACTAAAAATACAAAAAAATTAGCCAGGCGTGGTGGCGGGCGCCTGTAGTCCCAGCTACTCGGGAGGCTGAGGCAGGAGAATGGCATGAACTTGGGAGGCGGAGCTTGTAATGAGCCCAGATCGCGCTGCTGCACTCCAGCCTGGGCGACAGAGCAAGACTCCGTCTTAAAAAAAAAAAAAAAAAAAAAAAAAAAAAGACTGAAATGAAAATACTTTCTTAAATTCCGTTGTGTGAATGTTATTCTTTGTATGTACTGAAAAACTCATCACCAATATAAAAATGATGAACATATTTAGCACTCACAAAAATTTCCCCTTGCCATTTTGTAAACCCAACCTTCCTGTACTTTCCTACCTTACCACTCTCCCTGGCAATCACTAATCTGCCTGCTATCACTGTAGATTAGTTTGCACTGTTTAGACATTTATATAAATGAAGGGTAGTATGAACCCTTTTTTGGGGGCTGTGGCATCTTTTATGTAGCATGATTATTTTGAGATTCTACTATATTTCAGGCATCAATTGGACATTATTTTTATTACTGAGTAGTACTGTATTGTAAAGTAGGCCACAACTTGTTTATCCATTTGCCTGTTGATGGTTTTTGGGTTTGCTCCCAGTTTAGTACTTACACAAATAAACACTTCTGATGAACATTAATGTACAGATGTTTTTATTACTTTGAGTAAATATTAGGTTAATAGGTGTCAGTCTAGTTTAATAGACTGTCAAAATGTTTGCCAAAATTGTTGTACCATTTTATATTCCCATCAACAGTATATGAGAATTCCACATTCTTGCCAACACTTTGTATGAGCTGTGTTTTTAAATTTTAGACAATTTAATATGTATACCATAGTATCTTATTGTGGTTCCATAATGCCCGATACTGTTTAACATCTTTTTATGTGCTTACATGCTATCTGTACACCTTTGGTAAAGTAGATGTTCAATTTATTTTGCCTCTTTTGTTGTTTTTCTTGCTTTCTCATTATTACATTTTAATAGTATTTTTAATATATTCAGGGTACAATTCTATTATATATGAGATTTGCACATATTTTCTCCTTGTCTGTGTTTTCTCATTCATTCTCTTAATACTGTATTTCAAATAGCAGATGATCTTAATTTTGATGTAGTCCAATTTATGAATTATTTTTGTGTATTGTGCCTTTGGTGTTCTAGCTAAAAAATCTTTGATTGAAGATTACAAAGTTTTTCCTACGTTTTCTTCTAGAAGTTGATGGTTTTTGTGCTTTATTTTATATTTAAGTCAATGATCCTATAAGTCAGTGGTCCCCAATCGTTTTGCCACCAGGGACCAGTTTTATGGAAGATAATTTTTCCACGGGGGTGGGCCATGGCATGGAGCAGGTAGATGAAACTGTTCCACCTCAGATTATCAGGCATTAGTTAGATTCTCATAAGGAGTGTGCAACCTAGATCCCTCACATGTGCAGCATTCAAAATAGGGTTTGTCCTCTTGTGAGAATCTAATGCCACGCCGATCTGACAAGAGGAGCTCAGGCTTTAATGCTTGCTTGCCCACTGCTCACCTCCTGCTGTGCGGCCCTGTTCCTAACAGGCCAAAGACCCATACTTGTCCACAGCTCCAGGTTTGGGGACCCCTACTATAAGTGACAGAACTTTAACTCAAGTAAGTGCCATGCATACCTGGTTCCAGGAGCTTAAATAATGCAATCAGGACATTTCTCCCTCTTTCTGTTGACACTTTTTCTTGTGTTTTAGTTTTATTTCCTTCTTCTTAAGATGACTTTCTTTCTATGCAGCAGGAGACTGTGCTACAAATAACATACTTCACATTGTCCTTACATGCCACAGTGGCAAAAAAAGGAAGTGTCCCCTTGATGATTCCAGAAGAAAAGCACTAGGTCAGTTGCTACGGTCCAAAGATAGGATGATTTGCTGGAGCTGCATATCATGCCCACCTCTAGGCCTGGGGCTAGGAGGTCAGTCAGGCCCAGTTGGTGCCCATGGAAATGGCTCTACAAGAAAACAGGGGCTCAAGAGGAGAGCTGCTGAACAACCCATCAAAAAATGGCCACTGCATACATACCTGCCATTCCCTGCAATTTTTTTTTCTTTTATTATTATACTTTAAGTTTTAGGATACATGTGCACATTGTGCAGGTTAGTTACATATGTATACGTGTGCCACGCTGGTGCGCTGCACCCACTGACTCATCATCTAGCATTAGGTATATCTCCCAATGCTATCCCTCCCCGCTCCCCCCACCCCACAACACATATACACCATGGAATATTATGCAGCCATAAAAAGTGATGAGTTCATGTCCTTTGTAGGGACATGGATGAAATTGGAAATCATCATTCTCAGTAAACTATCCCTGCAATTTTTATAAGCAATTGTTTGGGTGAGAAGTGAGTATAAATTCAGCTGTCATTTACCTTCCTTTTTAATGTTGGTACAACGAGTCATGCATTTGACATTTTCTGGATTACTTCCATTATAGTTATTTCTGTGTATTAGGTACCAATTTGGAGTATCATCTGGAGAAATAAACTATTATTGCAGTCTATACTTAAATTAAGTATTCTTAGGAAAGAGAAATATACAGGGAAAGAAAAGACTCGGATAGAAATGCAAGAATAGAGAAAATGGGACCTGGGTATACTAAGGGAAATGGTCCAGCAGAAAGAATACCTGTGAGAAGCACTGAACTACATAGTTTGTATTACACATACCTCCAGGAAATTACAACTACTGGTGTAAGAACAAATCATTAAAATCATATTTTCTAATACTGGGTATTTTCTGCTTTCTTAAATCAGAAGTGGGGTTGGTAGAGAGGTGGGATGTTGTACATATAGGCCACAACTTGCTTATCTATTTATCTGTTGATGGGTTTTAGGGTATTAACAAAAAGTATTAATACAGGATAATGGGCACTTTAGGTGATCATAATTGATTTCTCCATTTGGTCTGAGGAAAATTTTGCCTACTTTTTTTTTTTTGTCAGAGGCTTCACTTTTCTTGTCCCGTTCAATTCTATGGTTTAATAAATGGGTAAATACCTATTTATAGATTCTAAATAGTTTTCTAAAATTCATTTGAAAACACTCTGAAAGCTAATTTTTCCAAGGAAGCGTTGTTTATGCTTTAGAGCTGCCCTGTCAAATATGGTAGCCACTAGCAACAAGTGACTCCTGAGCATTTGAAATGGGGCTAGACCCAACGGAGATGTGCTGTCAGCGTAAAATCCACACCAGATTTTGAAGACTTAGTATGAAATAAAATTCAAAATAGCTCATTAATAACTTTTAAATTGGTTACACATTGAAATAATATTTTGCACATATTTTACATATAAATATATTTAAATATAGAAATAATTTATCTTCATATAAAATATTTATTGATTACAAATAAAAAATGTTGACTTTCTGGTGGAGAAATCTAGCACAAACTTGATTGTGTGGCTCCTGCTGTGAAGTCATCAGAAGAGCACAGCATTGTTTCTGTGATGTATGTATGACCTAACTCTGCATGTGAGGAAATATCAGATAGAAATAGGTGAAGCCCATTCATCAGAAACAGATTATACTGTTTAAAACTCTCAATGTCATGAAAAACAGGAAAAAATAGAGGAACTGTTTCAGATTGAAGGAAACTAAAGAGACATGACTACTAATGCAATGGGAGATCCAGGATTAGATCCAGGACTAGAAAGTAAAAAAGATGTATTTGGAGGACAACTGAGAAAGTTGAATGTGATCACAGCATCTGTAGACTGACATTAGTGTTGCGTCAATGTTGATATCCGGATATGAATGATTATATTCTAGTTAGGTAGAGCCTGGTTTTAGTATCCCTGTTTTTTTCTGTAACTTACTCTAAAATGGTTTGGAAAAATAACATGTCTAATAATTCATATTTAGTACATAATTTTTAATATAGGAGAGAGAGTGCAAATTTGGTGAGAGACTTACAATTAGGGAACTTGAGTGAAGTAAATATGAAAGTTCATTATACTTTACTTGGAACTTTTCTGTAAATTTGAAATTCAAAATAAGTTATGAAAACTTATTGGTCAACCTAAAATGGAACTGAAATAATAGCAATAAGGTAATTAGTAAGAAGACTGAGGAAAAAGATATTTAGAGCTTCATGAGGTAACGCTGTGGAGAGGAAGGGTGAAGTCTTCTGGGACTGGGTTATGGAACTAGATTCTGAAGAGTGGATAGGATTTTGATGACAAGCAGAGCATGGAGAGAAGCAGGGAGGGCATTCCAGTTCAGAGAAACGATAAGAACAAAGGATTTGGGATGGAAATAAAGATGGTGTGCTTGGCAAATAATAAATAGACCTGTTTGGCCGGAGTGGAGGACTCTTGTTGAGAAATAGTGGGAGACGGGTGGCAGATGTGGAAGGAGTCCAGGGTATAGAAGGTGCATCAATATAAAGCAGAACAAATTAGGGTTTGATCTCAGTTTCGAAAGAACTTAGAGACCAAAAGTTCAAGCAAAGCAAAATAGAAAATAATTACTTTGTTTTTTACTTTGTTTATAGAAGTTTTTTTTGTTGTTTGTTTTAAAGCAACTTTACTCAAGAAAATGTGTCCATTCAAACTTTATATCATTGGCTTAATGTTACTCTAAGACAAACTCATTGTTTTGGGAAAACCTCATTTATTTATTAAATAAATATGCATTATTTACTTATTATAGTTTCTTGAACACTTGCAAACCCAAATCCGTCTAAGATCTCTGCACTTGATCTTCCCTCTACAAATCCTTCTTTCCCTAGATAATCATATTTTATTTGTTTTGATTTTGATTTTAAAGGAGTAGCTTTGGTTTTAATTTTAGAACCTTTATTAAGAATGCTTAACTTTTTTTTTTAACGACAACTAGTGTTTTCTCAAAGCTAGTTAGGGATGATCCTTGGAAAATGGCAACAGCCTTCCCAAATATTTTAATACAAAGGTGTTTATTCTCTATAATTTCCCTCACCTGCCACCATCTCTAGGGAAGCCACATGGTGATGGGTGAGGTCAGATAGGGTAGGTCTTGGCTAATAATCAAGCAATAGGAGAGCTTTTTATTCTTGGGCAGTTCATTCACAAAAATTGTATTTAACAATATAATTTTCAGTTTCTATTGGCTTATGATTTTACATATAGTTATTTAAAGAATATGGGGTCTAAGAAATGTTATGAAATAATGTCTCAAACTTGCTTTTTTATTCTTTTTACAAATAGCTAAAATTTATTTTGATAGTACTTGTTGAGCAACTATTTATTTTCTCTTTGATTTCTGAGGCCATTATCATTCTCTACTACATTATTATGTACACTGCTTTCCTTCTGGATTATTATTCTTTTCCATTGATCTATCTCACAAATGTTATATCACCATACTATGTGCTGATAAAAATTTATAATGTATTTTTATTTCTGAGCCCCTAAGTTCCTTTCATTATTCTTTATTTCCCCATAGATATTCTCACATGTTTGCTTATACAAAAGAACTCTAGAATCAATTTCTTGAGTTTCAGAAAAAAAGTAGATTTTTATGGGAATTATATTTGCTATAAATCAATTTGGAAATAACAATAGAAAATCTGTATTTTTATGTAGTCTTTCCACTTAGGATTAAGTACCTTCCAAAGAAATGTGCCTGCCTGGAATTTGTAAGGTAGACGTGAGATGGAGGCTCTTCTTTCTGTGATGGTAACAGTTGATGGACAGGCTCTCACAGATGCCAGTTTTTCAGAGGCCAGACCAGGCTGCATGTGCTACTCTCTGGTGGAATGGGTAGCTGTGGTAACAGTGCCAGTTTCCAGATATTTCCTAACCTCA
Organism: Homo sapiens; assembly: GCF_000001405.40. Lineage (NCBI taxonomy): Eukaryota > Metazoa > Chordata > Mammalia > Primates > Hominidae > Homo > Homo sapiens. Next base: position 128,919 of record NT_187544.1, read on the forward strand.
GACTGTTTCAAAAGTAATGAAGAGCTAAACAGTTTTCTATTTGGATAGCACTTGCATGGCATGGGCTTGCCGCCTGGTGGCAGTCCCATGACATTCACTCTTTCTTTAATTCCAGTAAAATTTTAAGTACCCAATTCATTTTTTTTTTGGGTGAAATACCTAGGGTGATTTCTAGTTCTTGCACTGGAACTTAGTCCTATAAAATAGACTCACAAGGATTGGAGCCTGGAGTTATTATCTTGCCAGGTTGGGCTTAAAGGTAATAATGATCTCATTGCCAGTAGAAAATGAAACATGGTCAATTAAGAACTATCTCTTAATGATTACCTGAGGCTACCTGGAAGAAATGGGATGTTTAAGGCAAGTGACTGGCAGATAATGTAGCTGCTGTCATAAACCACTATGATGGGACTAAGGAACACCTACCTGCGCTGTGGGTAAGTTGGCCACTTCCAAAAGTAATGAGGAACTAAAGAAAGATAATAAAGTGCTCCGGAATTTAAGTTTTGATCTCATGGTATGATCTGAGGGCCTGAGACCTTCTACAACCACTCTACGAATCTCTTATCTTGCATACCCAGAGTTGATATAATTAAAAACATGACAGAGTCTAATCTTGCAACTTACTTTACTCCCACACAGGTTGAATTCACAGATTCACCAGATCTCTTATGTGAAACTTGGGGCACTAATTAGGATAAAGTGTGACTTTAAGAATGAGGTAGGGATAATTGGTAGATTTGGATGAATCTGTGTTGTAGAAATGATCAAGTTCCAATGAGCTTCTTTGCCATCAGTAGTCCTTTCTCACAAACAAAGCTAGTACCGTTTTACTTGAAGATACTGCAAGGTCTTTACCTGAGATAGTCACATACAAAGTGATGTTAATTCTCTTCATCTGCACCTCTCATTGTCATCAGACCCATATTAGAGTCAGAATCCAACATGTCCCAGAAGAACAATTACAAAGTTGGAGACATAAGATATAGCTTCACACCAAAAGGAATTTTAATATCTTGCTAATTTACCTTGATAGAAATTTGAGAAATGGATATGTTAAAGAATTCTAAGAGAACTGATGAAGAAGGCAGAAACTTACGAGTGTGGGACTAATGTATGTATATGGGTATACTTACCAAAGGTGTGGATTCAGTTTGTGAGTGTGAGCATCTGAGACTGGCATTGAAAATCTAATTGATTGCATAATAGAAATATTTATGGTGGCCTTCATTAAATTAAAATGGGGTGCTGGGCTTGTCTGGCATAACAGAAAGTGTGGTAGCCACTGTTTGTTGACAAATATTTCATCTTCTCCTGGGAGCACTGCAGAATTCCAGGCTCCCTTTTTAGTTAGTGGGGGGTATGTGACTACTTCAGTTCAATGAGCTGTAATAGTACCTGACACACATTATTAAATGCCAGGGCATTTAATCGTTAACACTGCACTCACAGAGCATTGCTTCCCTCTGATACAGTGACAGGCAATATCTAGGATGGTGGCTGTTTCATCAGCTTGGTTTATTGAAAGACTCCAGTAGTGGAAACCCCTTCCTGACCTGCAGTGGACAAGTGGTGTGAGTGAAACAGAAACCTATAATGTTTTAAACTACTGAGATTACGGAATGGTTATTGTATAATAATCTATTGTGACTTACACCTAGAGGAAGTAGAACATTCAGAGTTTATTATATGTTATCCATAAATCCACCCACATCACTCTACACCCCAGGAAGTTTCCAAAAATACTTCATCACCAAAGCATTAAGAAATAAATATATTGGTGAGAGAAGTATGAATTCCCTTGGGAAGTTCTATTGTGGCTGCCCTCTGAAAGCTGGAGATGACAGTGGAAGACCTCATGATTGAAATGGGCTGCCTAATTTCAATGGGATGATGGAATTCCAGGGATATGGAATTATATTTCAGGACTTAAGCACCAGGTGCAAAATGCATATAGATGCCATAATGAGCAGTAGGGCCAAAGCATTCATTGGAATCATTTGACCCTCGAGAATCGCAGTCTCCCTAGGACTCACATACATCTACGTGAGCAGCCTGCTGAATCTTATCTGACATATATTTCCAAAAATGAAACTCTAATTGTGGGAAATAGAAACCCGAGTAAGTCGCAATAATGAAGAATCATAGTTCCTCATCCAATTCCCTGACCCGAGTTTGTTCCCGAATTCAAAGTCCCTAAAAATATTAGAGATGATGGGTTGTATAAAGAAAAGGCACTGCAATAATCAAGTCCTGATGCGTGACTACTAATGTCACAAATTTTTATGAAAAAGTAATCTATTATTTGTCATCTTGCTATTAGTGAGTGTGCATACTGTCCACACAAGTCTGTCTTCTGCTTTCTGAGGTTGCTGCAGGTCATTTAGGCTTTTCTGGTTCAGTTGTTTTTAGTGCTCCTCAGATATCTTCACTGTGGGAAATTGTAATTTAGTAGTTATTGATGTATTTCCTGGACTCATCTACATAGGATGAGTGCTAAGAGATTTAGTTTAAAAAAGACCGATTTTTAGATACATCAGGAACATTCCTCCTCTTTCTTAAACTTCTCCTGTCTATGTGATTTGCATAAGGTAATGATTCTAACATTTTTTAAAAAATTAGAAAGTCTACTGGATGTCTCTTAAAGTTGACTTATTTAGGGAGTACGAGGTAATCTAGGTCAATAAGAACCAAACTAGATCTACTAAGATTGGTTAGGATCATCAGATAATTTCTTAAATAAATTCATCCTTAATCCTGAGATAATTGTGAACCCCAAGTTTCATCCTAAGAAAAATAATATTATAGTAGAGTTGGCTTTGTGTTTTGAAGGACAAAGGAGCACAATGAGATTTCCTGTGACCTGTTGAAATCCATAGAATTTTACATACAAAGTTCATCTTTTAATGACATTTCATTCTACTCATAATAAATTACACCTGTAACTAACATCTATAATCAATCTCTTTTTTCTCCCTTTAAAAAATACTCTGTATTTCTGTTATAAAAATAATGATCATAGTTTCTGAGCTGTAGCCTAAAATGGAACAAAATATTTGAAATCTGAGGTGTTTTAAATTTTATAATCCACTTACAACTTTGGTAATTTTATAATCCACTTATGACTATGAAGAATCATAGTTCCTCATCCAATTCCCTGACCTGAGTTTGTTCCCAGACTCAAAGTCCCTAAAATATTAGTCTTGCACTACATAAGCATGTAAAATTTACAGGAATATTCATACCTAAAATATTTTCAACTTATCGTATTTCCCTTGAAAACATCGTTGACATTTTTTAATTTTAATAAAAAGGCAGTCAAAAATCATTTTGTATCTTGATTTCAGTCAATGACACCCAGCCACACAAATATAGATTTAATGTTGATTAAAACTAGGTTTTTGAGTGGATATAATGCATGAGAAAATTAAAAAATAAATATTGGCTCAGAATATTTTCACTGTTATGAAATTTCTTCCACTTTGGCCTAGTTTGTTGTGTAAAAAGATATGTGTTCATAATAATAACCATGTTGTAATACCAAAGACTCAATTCACATTCTATAATAATGTTAACTTAAGCATTCAAAATATTCAAAAGAAGAATTTTACATTCTATTTATATGGAGCCATTTTTATTGATAATTATATCTTTCTCTAGAAAATAAACAATTAAAACAGTTCAAGTATTTTTTAAAATTTTGCCAATCTTTACAGAGAAGATTGGTTTTGGAAAATGAATCTTGTATTTGTCAGCAATATATGTCAGAATTGTTAAAAGCTCAGCAATTATAGTCAATGTATTTCCTATTAATTTAGACAACTCCTACTTTTGAATGATCATCTTAGATGACTTTGTCCTTTAGTTATTTTATATGAATAAAGACTGTGTGTACTCATCTGCACTTAGTGATTGGAAATCAGGAATGTACATAAACGCATTCTTTAGGATAGGGAAAGAACTTTTAATCTGCTTTAGACTGAATTACGGCAGGTAAGATTAGTAAAATACTCTCTAGATCTGGAGTACTGGGTGTGTTCCTGTCCACTGGTCACAGTAGGATTGAATACGTGAAGGTCAGTGGTTAACAACAAAGATCAACAGAGAACATGTGAAAGATTGGAGGATAGCATATGAGAAACTGGATGATAAAACAGGGCTTGAACAGACTCAGCAAGCATTACAAATTTTAGCAACTAAGGCACACTGATACCTCCATTTTCAATAAACAGGCTTGGTGACTATAAAGATATGTATTCTATTATTTATTTGTTTATTATGTTGTTTATGTATGTAATTTACATTTGTAACAAGATCATTGAATCTGCACATTTGTGCACAAGTTCACATTTAAAACTATCAGAGCACATAATAATAATAAAAAATCTGTCATACAAGTGAAGCATTCTAACCACAAGGAAGACTAAGATAGGAAGAGGAACCACTCTTTATATTCTGCTTCAAATATCTCAAAAAGGTCCCAGAGATTGCAGGGAGCATCTCCCTTTTTTAATAAAATGAAAGCACAAAAGTTTGAGATGGTCTGGGACAAAGGTAACAGTCAGTGGGAGAGTCTTCTAGACTTGTTTTCCACATTCAGAATAAATCCTACAAAAAAAAGTAGAAAGAGCTTAGGTTTCCTTAAGCTTTCCCATGCAAACTCAAACCCAGTATGACATGAAAGCCAAGCAATCTCCTGTTGACTTATTGACGGGAAGCATTTCAGGACCAGTTACCCCGTTTTCAGACTGAGTCATCTGTTCTGTAGTAATCCATGGTATTAGCTCCACATGCGTACACAGGATGCTACCACTGCGTCACTGTGAGGACACAGATGGCAGCACCAGTCATATACTTCCTGGGGGCTCTTCAAAATGTCAAAGACAATTTCGATTGCCAATTTTGGTTTCTCTCTCTTTTTTTTTTTTTTTTTTTTTGACGGAGTCTTGCTCTGTCGCCCAGGCTGGAGTGCAGTGGTGTGATCTTGGCTCACTGCTACGTCTGCCCCCTGGGTTCAAGTGATTCTCCTGCCTCAGCCTCCCACGTAGCTGGGATTACAGGCATGCACCACCACGCCCAGCTAATTTTTGTATTTTTAGTAGAGATGGGGTTTCACCGTGTTGGTCAGGCTGGTCTCGAAATCCTGACCTCATGATCCGCCCGCCTCGGCCTCCCAAAGTGCTGGGATTACAGGCGTGAGCCACCACACCTGGCCCATGGTTGTTTTTAGTAGTTGCTAATAGGTTTCTGATAGACTGAATCAAATTAATGTATTAATTCAGGAGACTATTAAGATAGACCATCTTTTGCATCTATTCATTCTTCCCCAAAGTCAAATGAATACATTAAAAATGTTAGCAATAATAATATTTATTCTGCTCAGTTTTAAAGGGTCTGACCTTACATATCAGGAATGATTCTTCATTGTTGGAATCTAAACTTTTAATTGCCCTGGAGCTGTTCATATTTTCTATGGGTGGTCAGTACAGTTTGGCAATACAGTTATGCTGAGATTATGGAAACAGCTGGTTCATCGTCTTCTTCTTTATTCTCAGGTGTGCTGCTCTCTTATGGGCCCTAGATGGGTATGTTATTCAAAAGAGCTCTTGTTGTACTCTGAGATAACCCAAATTTATAAAGAAAAAGGGAAAATGATAGTAGTTTTGAGCACAAGTTCAAGTACATTTATAAACTGACACATTGTTATTGTTAGTGTGTGTAAGGCAATTTACAAAGGACTTGAGTCACCTCTACCTCGTCACTTATTATCTATGCGATGCAAACCACTTCTCTGTCCACTAGCTTCATCTTTAAAATGGGAGTAATTATATACTAACCTGTTAAATTTAAATGAAATAACACATGTAAAATGCCTATCATTGATTCTGGCAGGTAACAAACACAAAATAGATATTAAATATTATCACTAGTAAGTATAAAAGTATGAAATTAAAGGTTATATTTGTTTGTTAATAAATATCCAATATTAATTAGTGTTAATTAACATCCAGTGGTATAGGAAGATTCCGTGGCAAGTTGTATTATTGTTCTCTGATATTTGATGATCCTCCCCAGGGGAAGATTATATTTCCATGACCCACTGACATCAGACTTGGCCACACGTTTCTCTTTGGCCAATGAAAATGGGCTGAAGTAATGTGTGTTACTTCTGAGCATAAAGTTTAAGAGCCAATATGTGGTTCACGATTTATTCTTTTCCCTGTGCCATGATCATCAGAAAAATGTAGACAGAGGCTGCTTTATCAGCCTGGATTTTGGAATGAAGACCACAAGGACAGAAAATGCAGTCCATCTGTGTAACAAGTTCCATGAGCAAGAAATAAACCCTTTTTCTAGCAACTGAGATTTTGAGATCATTTGTTATTTCACCATAACCTGCATTTTAAAACATTTTTGTTGTGTAAGTTAATATCAACATTTCCCCCAACCCTAACCCCGCCAAAAGGAATTATTTTACTTAGGGCCCAATGACTAAGCCATTCCCAAAACAAACATAGAGAAGGCTGCTTAGTTTGGTATCTGTCTTTTCCAGTGGAAGGAATAGTTCATTCCAGAGAACGAATTTTAGGTTTGGCACTAGACCGAAAGCATTTTGTGGGCTCCTGGAGCTTTGCTTTCAAGAGAATTGCAATTGTGGGTACTGATCCTTCACAACTCCGCATAGCAGGCAATTACTACTAGTGTTTCTCAAATGGTCCCTTTCCAAAAACAACTTATGAATATAAAAATCAAAAGCTAAAGTTTCATTGTTCTTTAGTTGGAATAAATCCCAGACAACTGTATTGAATTTATTCATAATACATGAAAAGACTTAAGAAAATCTCAGTGGGAGTAGGAAGAGAAGGTAGGAAATTGGCATGATGATGAAAATGAAACTTTACACAACCATAAGGCAAAGAAGAGGCAAGGTCAAGGCTTTTTTAATTAGAAATTTTATACCTTTGAAAATTAGACTTATTTACTTATAGTGTTACATGTGTTTGACCATTAAATGTCTATTTGAGCTCCAAAATGTTAATTTCAAGGATGTTAGCTACCAGGTTTTTTATGATAAGGCCTTAAACATTTTTTTTAGTTGGGGTACTGAGTAGTAGTAGAGCCTCAGGTGAAGTTCTCCTGGTGCAGGTTATGGATAATAGTAGGCATGATCTTGGAGATTTGCATGAAAAGAGATCATACTTTAAATGTACCCAGAAAATTTGCTCTTTAATGTTTTATTTTGGACAGGTCACAATGATTTATAGTAATGAAAAACAGCCATTTCCTAATTTATCATTTTTGATCAAACTTGTTATTAATATTAAACTAAAGAGTAAGTAAAGGGTACCAGTATTTAAAAAGCTTGAAAATCAGCTCTTTAAATTCTTCAAGGACTTTTTGTCAGATAACTAATGAACAATCAATTGTATTTTGTTTGTTAAAAGTATTGAGCATCCAGTATATGTGGGGCACTGTCTAGATAATAGGGATGTATCCATAAACAATATAGACTGAAACCCCTATCTTGGTGGAACATACAGTTTTGAGAATAAGTTAATGAATGCACCTTATAAGTAGACCTTTCATTGTTCCTTATAATATTCATGCTTGAACTGAGGTACAGCAAAATGCAATGACTGCCTTAAGCATGATAGGCTTAAGTGTATCCGCTGCAACTCATATACACAGAAGTTCAATTATTTTTAATAAGTGAATTCAGCCTTCTGCAGATGATGGAGGGAGGATCTAATCTTGCCATTTCAAGGCATCTCAGTCACTTTTGACTAATAAAGTTAGTCTCTTGTGGCTAAATATTGAGTCAACTTCAACATTTTTCCTTTTCTCCTTCACCTGCCCTTCTTTCAAGGCCTGATCTCAGTGTGGACTGGGCTGACATAATTTTCCGGCTGGGAAAGGATATTTATCCCATACTAGCTCCCAAAGATCTGGTGTAATCTGCTCTTGGGGCATCACCATAGTTTTAGGGTGTCCACTTTTGAAGAGTCTTTGTCTCATATAACTTGTATTATTTTTTCCTGGATTAATATAGTTCACAGGGATCACCCTGGGAAAGCTTGGTAATATCACCCAGCTGGTTGTGAACCCTTCTGGATCACTGCTGGTGTTGCTTGATCTTCTAAGACTCAGCTATATTCTCCAGCTGACCTTGCTCTGTTCTGTCAATCCTGTGGCTTCTGAAAAGGGCTCCCCTTTATTCTAGGGATTTCAGGCCCTGAGTGAAGTGGTGTGTGTGTGTGTGTGCGCGCATGTGCGCGTGCGCTCGTGTGCGTGCATATGCACAAGGAGCAGGCTGTGTGTTCACGTCACCTCCTTTAGGGATTTTTTTGGTCCAGCTTAGAGGGTATTCTCCTTTCTGTTAAGTGGGAACTGTCCCTGGGTCATCTATTGCATCCTTCCTACTCTGTGGCTTAGGGTAAAAACCCTGTGCTCCTTGGTTGCAATCTTTGCTTGTTGCTGTTTAAAAAACTTTCATTTTTTTATTTATAAGATTTTTTCCTTTTCTAAAAAGACTGAATTACAAGCTTATTCTTACAATTGTCGTCTCTGAAGAAAGTATTAAGTGATAGCTTTAGAAGTCAAAATCTGAACTTTATCACCTCTGCTGTTGACTGGCCTCTGCCCTCCTCTGAAGCTAAGGATGCCTCACACAGTAGGTGAAGGACTTTGGGGCAGCAAGAATTACCAGGAATAAACAATCACCAGATAACATTTCAAAACATTTCTCTCCCTCATGAGAGCTTCAAAAGACATGAGAAAATAAAATCAATCCTCACCAACACTATGGCTAGGAAAAATAATTCAGTTGTTTTAGAAACAACAACTGACTACGGTTTTAAAGGTTGTTGCTTAAGTTATTGGTGTCCTGGGATTAAGTTAGCATGTTTTTATGCACACACTATTTCAAACAAATAACATACTTTTGGCCAGTAATAAAAGACATAAAAATTCAGTTTTCAAAGAGACTGAGACTAGCCTGGCCAGCACCTGTAGACTTTGTAAGATACAAACATCAATTCTGGAAAAGATGTAAGTCACACCCAACACTGGTTACTCCAAGGTACAAAGTCTAGTGTTACATTCTTTAACTTTATATGTGATAAATGAAACAACAAATAATGAAAGAGAAGGTGAAACATACTGTAATGATTTTTTCAGATATGTAAAAAAAAAATCTCACTATCAGGCATTATGGAAATCACCCCAATTAGCAATTTGGCAATTCAACATTTGAGGATGCTGAACCCCCAAGAAGATATGCCCCAGGCCCAATATTTCCTTCACTCTGTGTCTTTCAGGGATCTCTTCACTCAATAACAACTTATGTGACATCTCTTAACTTTCTAATCTCTCCTACTACACTGTGAGTTCTCATGAGAGCAAAGGCAGTGCTTGTTTACTCTGAACCCTGCTCTGTCCCCAGAGCCTGGTATAGTACCTGGACTTAGTGAGTGCTCTGTAAACTTTTTCAAATATTTTAACACCAAAATAGTCCTACTTACCCTCTTTCCATAAAGAAAATCAGTTTGGAGTAGTTTTTAGTGGTCCAGATATTCAAATTTAGATAAAGACTAATGGGAATGTGGTCAAGACTGGGCTTCTTAAATAGATTCTCCTCTCTTCCAAAGGGCTCTAGAAGTCTTCCAGTTGTACATATAGAATATCTTTTAGGAAGGGCCTAATTGGATCATAGACACAATAGCTTCTGGTATTATTTGACCAATCAGATCATAGTAAACTAGCATTCTTACAGGACAACATGAAGGATTTTCATCGCCAGTCCTCAGCATATAGGCAGTCATAGAAAAAAGCATTTGTCCTGAAATGGTCAGCTCTTATTTTTTTCCCCATGTCCTTTACGGTAAAATTTGTGTCCTCACTTTACTAAATCTCCAGCAAGTAATTGCTTAATCTGAGTCTAGAATGGACTTCCAAGTTATTGTTGTTTCTCATAACCAGGGCTTTTACTAGCCAGGCAATATTTTTAATTTGTACTATTAACTTTATCTTCGAATTTGTAAATACATGAACAAACTCTGGAAATTTGATTTAGCAAACATAGGAAGAGGATATTAAAACATTTGAGATTTGAGATTAAAATCTGTAAACTTGACACAATCTCATGGATTCCTTTGTTATTACTAAGGACAAAATGAACAAGATGAGGGTGAGAAATTTACTTGATGTTCTCTGTGTTTGTTTTGCCATATCTCGTTTTCATATGCTTTCTAAATTGTTTCCTCTCACTCCCTCTTGCTCATGCCACTCCAAATCAGTCTGTCCCAAATTTCTGAGGAAATAGGTCATAAAGTAAAGAGCTGAATATCAAAAACGAAAAAACGATGGCCTATTGTAGAATACCATTCTCACCACAAACGACAGTTTTTGAATCCTAACTTAAGTTTGTACAGCAATGGAACCCAACCCAGTCAGACATTAGTTCCATGCCAATGATGGATTTTATTTTGGCTCTTAAACATATTTATCTAACCTAAAACTCAACCATTGTTTAAATTAGAAGGTCAGCAAGTAGTATGTAATTTGGAACAAACAACTTTTTTTTCCTTCTTATTTTCAGGGAATAAAAGAGGAAGTGAGGGTAGAAAAATAATACTTTTTGCTTACACATGGAGGAGTGGGAGTGGGATGGGGTAGGAAAAAACCCAGACAGTTATTTTAGATTGCTTTAAATGTTGAGTAAAACCTGTGCACTATTGAACCACAAAATAAAGAGCCCATGAATAACATTAATTTGCTCTTTGCTACACACTGAAAGATACTACAAATATATTTTCAAAACTAGCCCTTTTCTTTTGGAGTTTTCTAACTAGTTGATAAAACAATAATAGAAGACATGTAAAAGAAATTACGGTGAGAAAATCAGGATAAGTTTACATCATACTGCAGGAAAAAACTACATCATATCTGAGAGCTAGCTATTGCCAAAACAATGCTGACTAACAAACAAAATATCTGTGACATACAATAATATGCACCCATTTGTCACTCACATGTCTGCAAAGCATTTGGGGCCTGCTAATTCTAGGTCAGGCATGGCTGGGTTTGATTTGGTTAGTTTCATGTCTGCCCCACTTTTCTCATTGACGTAGGGCCAGTAGGTTACACAGGGCAGGTTCTTCTAGACAATGGCAGAAGTGTAACAGGATAACCCAAGCACTCCATCATATTTCAAGCCTCTGGCCAAGGTAGAGAAAAAGTATAGAGAAATACACCCTTCCCATCATAAAACTATATCAAGTATATGGCAGTATAGTCTAATTACAAGAAAATAAAGAATTGGGGCTAATAGTTCACTCTATGCATATAAATTATAGTATGTAAATTAATTATAATCTAAAGCGAATAATATTTTTAGTTTAAAATATGATGGATTCTATTTAGGAAAGCAATTTATTTCAGTATTATGAAATGCCATTATAAAATGAGAGCCATAAATGTGATTATTACATATCAAATGTCAAGGACATTATAAATTCTTTCTGAAAAAAATGAACTTATGAAGGGTGAATAAAAGCTGTTAAACTGCATGTTTTTTCATTTTTCTTTATTAGAAAGCCAATGTTAAAAGACATTCTTTGGTTGATGTTGGATTCATTCTTCAACAGATTGATTACACCAAAGCACTAACCAACCTAACAAGACCTCTAGTCAATATGCATACCTAACTTAATTTATATTTTGTTGATTTAATGGATGATTCCTGTATTTTCATCTAAGTTGATTATGCCTTTTTTATATTAAAGCACATGTAATCTTTTTTCTTTTCTTTTCTTTTCTTTTCTTTTTTTTTTTTTTGAGACAGAGTCTCGCTCTGTCACCCAGGCTGGAGTGTAGTGGCGCAATCTCGGCTCACTGTAATCTCTGCCTCCCAAGTTTAAGCAATTCTCCTGCCTCAGCCTCCTGAGTAGTTGGGATTACAGGCACGCCCCACCACACCCAGCTAATTTTTGTATTTTTAGTAGAGACAGGGCTTAACCATGTTGGTCAGGATGGTCTCAATCTCCTGACCTCATGATCTGCCTGCTTTGGCCTCCCAAAGTCCTGGGATTACAGGCATGAGCCACCATGCCTAGCCACATGTAATCATTTTTACAGCATTTTACTTTTTTGCTCACTCTGTCTTTATCTTCACATTTCTTCTCTTTTCCCCCTTTCTTCTCCTTCCTCTTTCTCCTTTTTCTTCTTCTTGTTATGTCATCTTTATTTTATAGATGAGGAAACTGGATCTTAAAGTGGTGATATGGTTTGGCCGTGTCCCCACCCAAATCTCCTCTTGAATTGTAGCTCCCATAATTCCCATGTGTTGTGGGAGGGACTAGGTGGGAGGTAATTGAATCATGGGGGCAGGTCTTTCCCATGCTGTTCTCATGAATAAGTCTCACAAGATCTGATGATTTTATAAATGGAAGTTCCCCTGCACAAGTTTTCTCTTTGCCTACCACCATGTAAGATGTCCCTTTGCTCTTCCTTCACCTTCTGCCATGACTGTGAGGCCTCCCCAGCCATGTGGAACTGTGAACCAATTTAATCTCTTTCCTTTATAAATTACCCAGTCTTGGGTATGTCTTTATTAGCAGTGTGAGAACAGACTAATACAGGTGGTTACATTACTTACCTGAAGTGATGCATGTACTAAGTACCTAGACCTATCTTGGAGAATTTGTGACTTCTTATGTTTAATCCTCTAATGTGGAACTTGAGCGTTATTAAACTTTATAGCTATTTGATTTCATACTTAGACTGTTTACCTAGTAGAGTGGTTTACCTAGAATGTTTACCTAGTAGAGTGGTTGTCAAATGATCATTTGGGGCAACCTGTTAACAGTGTACGTTTCTTGGCTCCATGCCCTGTCATTGTGATTCTCAGTAGATTTATGGTTGTGATGGTAAGTCTCTATTTCTTTTTAAGGTCCATTTAATACTGTACATTATATGCTGTTATATTTTTTCCTCAGCACCTGTTCATTTCTATTCATATTAGATACATACATGTGTGCACACACAAATACATATGAGCACTATTTCTTCTATTTTTAGTCTTCAGTTGACATATATGTTAGTTACTATTTTCCCATTAGAATGCAAGATTTGTAAGGGTCCTTTTATTGACTTCTTTCACTGTAGATTACCAGCACTTTGATTAATGATCATACATGTTTGATGCTCAATAAAATATGTTGAAGTAATAAATACACATTATATTGACTTTCTAATCCTTTCTTCTGTTAATTTTATGGATCATTGATGATTTTGCTATTATAGTATGTTATATATTATTAAAGTTATTTTTCTTTCAGCTAAGTATCCTAGGTTATTGTTATCCTAAGGTTAATCCTAGGTTAAGTATACAGGATTTTGAATATAACAATCTATATTCTAGAATTACCTAGTCAGATACTGGACAGATAGAAATCTGAGGCAAGTATCTTATACTCTCTGAGCTTCAATTTCCTCATCTAAAAATATAAATGAATAAATTCCTAGAAACAAACAACTTACCAGGACTGAATCATGAAGAAACCAGAAAATCTAAACAGACAATAATAAATATATTGAATCAGTAATCAAAAGTCTCCCAGCAAAGAAAATCCCAGGATCTGATGACTTCACTGGTGAATTATACCAAACATTTAAAGAATAATTAACAGTACTTTTTGTCAAAGCCTTCCAAAACATTGATGAGGAGGGAACATTTCCAAAATCATTTTATGAAGTCAGCACTACCCTGATACCAAAGCAAGACAAGGACAAGAGAAAAAAATATAGAGAGCAATATGCCTGGTGAGCATAGATGCAAAAATCCTGAACAAAGTACCAGCAAAGTGAATTCAGTAGCACATTTAAAGGATCATGCACCATAATCAAGTGGGATTTATCCTTGCAATGCAAAGATAGTTCAAAATATGCAAATCACTAAGTATAATACACCACATTAACAAAATGAAGGATAGAAAAAGTATAATCTTCTCAATAGATGCAGGAAAAACATTGGACAAAATCCAACACCCTTTCATAATAAAAACTCTCAGCTTTATTAGATCTAGAAAGAATGTACCTTAACATAATAAAGGCAATGTATGGCACACTCACAATGAACATTATGCTTAATAGTGAGTAGCTGAAACTTTTTCGTTTTAGATCAGAAATAATACAAGAATGCCCATTCTTGCCATTTCTGGCAAGTACTTGCACAGTACTGCAAGTCCAACAAGAAAAATAAGTGAAAAGCTTCCAAATAGGAAAGGAAGAAGTGAAATCATCTCTGTTTGCAGATGACATGATTTTGTATATAGAAAACCCTAAAGACTCCACTAAAAAGCTATTAGAACTAATAAATGCGTTCAGTAAACTTGCAAGAGAAAAATCAACATACAAAAATCTATATGCTACCAATAAACAATTTGAAAAAAAATTAAGGAAATGATCCCATTTACAACATCAAAAAAGAATAATATAGGAATAATTTTAACCAATAGGTGAAACATCTATACATTAAAAACTATCAAACATTGATGAAATATCAAATATTGATGAGGTGAATAAGACACAAATAAATGGAAAAGTATTGCATGTTCATGGACTGGAAAAATAATATTAAAAATTTTATAATACCCAAGGCTATCTACAGATTCAATGCAATCTCTATCAAAATTCCAATGGCATTTTTCACAGAAATAGAAAAAACAATTCTAACATTCATATGAAACCACTAAAGAAACTGAATAGTTAAAGCAGTCGTGAGCAACAATGACAAAACTGGAGACATCATAATTCTGATTTCAAATTATATTAAAATGTTATAGTAATCAAAACCATGTGGTACTGGCTTACAAACAGACACATGGACAAATGGAATAGAATAAATAGAGGGCCCACAAATAAACACACAGATATATGGCCACTTAATTCTAGACAAAGGAACCAAGAATGCACAGTGAGGATAGTCTTTTCAATAAATTGTGATGGAAAAACCGGATATCCACATGCAAAAGGATGAAATTTGATCCTTATCTTACACTACACACCAAAAGCAACTTCAAATGGATTAAAGACTTAAATGTAAACCGCTAGAAGAAAACATATGGGAAAAGCTCCTTGCCAATCCTCTTGGTAATAAATTTTTGAATATGACACCAAAAACATAGGCAATGAAAGCAAAAATAAACAAGTAGGACTGCATAAATTGAAAAATGTCTGCATAGCAAAGAAAAAATGAACAAAATGAAAAGGCAAACTGTGGAATGAGAAAAGATATTTGCAACACACATATTTAATAATGGATTAATATACAAATATGTAAGGAACTTACACAACTAATAGCAAAAAGAAATTAAAAATAGGCCAAGGACCTGAATAGACATTTTTGAAGACACACAAATGACTAACAGGCATATAAAAAGGTGCTGAAGTAACCAGTGTTGGTGAGAAAGTGGAAAAATGGGAACCCTTGTACATTGTTGGTGGGAATGCAAATTAGAACAGCCATTATAATAAATAGTATGAAGTTTCCTCAAAAAATTCAAAATAGCCCTACCATATTACTTGGCAATGCCTCTGCTGAGTATATACCCAAAGAACATGAAATCAGCACCTCATAGAGCTACCTGCACTTCCATGTTCATTGCAGCATTACTCACAATAGCCAAGATATCAAAAACTACCCAAGTGTCTTGACAACAGATGAATGAATACATTTGTTGGTAAATGTGGTATATATATGCAGTGGAATATTATTTATCCTTCAAAAAAGAAAAAAATCCTGTCATTTATGACAACATGGATGAACCTATTGATAAGCCAGACACAGAAAAACAAACTCTGCATGATCTCACATATCTGTGAAATCTAAAAAAGTCAAACTCATAAAAACAGAAAGTGAATGTTGATTCCAGGGTCTGAGGGATAGGGAAATTTGGATGATTTTGGTCAAAGGGTATATATACACTTTGAATTATAAAATGAATATGTTTTGAAATCCTAATGTACAGCATTATACTTAAAGTTAATAATAATGTATTGTATATTTTAATTTGCTTAGAAAGTAAATCTTAAATATTCTCATCATACACACAAACACACACACACAAAGGGTAACTATGTGAGGTGATGGATATGTTAATTAGCTTGATTGTAGTGGCCATTTCACAGTGTATAAATATATCAAATTATCACATTGTGCATCTTCAGTATATACATTTTGTATTCATCAATCACACCTCAGTAAAGCTAAAGAAATAAAGTTTTTGGGGGTTTTATGAAGCTTTTTGTGGCCAGTGATAAGAAAAACAATTATATCTTAGATATACTTCACAGAAGTCAGCTTTTTGCTCAAAGGATAGATAAAGGATATATAAAAATTGAAAGATGTTTGTGCTGTTAAGTTGTAATCATTTTTTCTTCTTTTTTTTTTTTCTTTGGAGAGGGAGTCTCGCTCTTGTCACTCAGGCTGGAGTGCCATGACATGATCTTGGCTCACTGCAATCTCTGTCTCCTGGGTTCAAGCAATTCTCCTACCTCAGCCTCCCGAGTACCTGGGATTACAGGTGCCCGCCACCACGCCCAACTAATTTTTGCATTTTTAGTAGAGATGGGGTTTCGCCACATTGGCCAGGCTGGTCTCGAGCTCCTGACTTCAGGTGATCTACCCACCTCGGCCTCCCAAAGTGCTGGGATTACAGGCGTGAGCCACCGCGCCTGGCCTGTAATCATTTTTTCTTCATAAATGCTATCATGTTGAAAAGTGCTAAGTCTATCCTACTAGTGCACTGGTGCCCATATATATGGTGGCTTGAACTTGTGCAAAGGCTATATAGGAAGAAGAAGTGACCAGATAGAGTCTTTTGTGCCCCACTCTGACTTCAATCTGAATACCTTTGATTTTCGTAAATTGACTAATTTTCATTCCACATAGGACATTGTTTTACAAAAGTTTTACGATAAAAGTGACATTTCCAAAGCCTGAAATCAGTGTAAGCCATAAATTCTATTACTCTTTCAAAGATAAGTCCCCCCAATGATACAGTATTATTTGAAAAAATCTGAGAGTCACTGCTTTAAGAATTGTAATTCAAAATGTGTCATATCTACGGGCTTCATTTAAACACCAACCAACAAACTCTGGCCTACATAATGGAAAATTGAAGCAGAAACTTTCATTTTTAACTTCCCCTTTCCCTTTAAGCCAGTTTTACAACTTCAATTTATGCAGCCTCATTTTATTCCAACACTTTCTTGCTTTGTCCTTTATCTTGTCCTCCAAATTGTGCACATAAACCATCACCTATAACTTTAAATAGAAATCATACCTCCTCCTAAGAATAGTGTCTCTTAACACAGCATGCTATGGTTTAGCAGTTTTTACCAACAGCACCTCTTCTGGCATTTTAATCAAACATTTACTTAGACCTTTCTGACACAGTAATAATATTACCTTCTATGACAGACAGAATTTTGATGGAGGCTTTCCTCCCTCTATGATTAAAAATAAATAAAGGCAACACTGAAAAAAATTCAAACTGTGACCTTGGGATGCTCGTTTTATAAAAAAGGCTCACTAAAGATCAGAGATATTAGCTGCTAAGGAAAGAAAGCTCAACATGAAAATTCTTACAGACCAAGATAGATAAAATGATTTTAAAAGTTCAGAAAAAAGTCAATTCCCTTGTTACGTTAAACAAATTAACCACCTCCTGCCCCTGGCTGTCTTTGCTAATTTGAATTTTCTGGAATCTGCTGATGCAGGTTTAACATGCTGTATAGAATTAACTTGTTTCCTAATTCCTTTATACTCACACCTTCACCCTCTAATTCATTCATTCATTCTACAAATACAGTATTGATTGAATAACCACTCTGTGCTAGGTACAGTTTTGAGCAAAGGAAACATATCAGTGGAAAAAATAAGCCAAATTCCTATCTTTATAGTGGTTGGGTAACTCTAGTGGGGAGCCAGCCTTTCCGGAGTGAGCCAGCACTGCCCGTATAAGCTCAGACAAATTACTCAGCCTCCTTTGCTTGTTTCTGTTTTTTAAAAGAGGAAGACATCAGTTTCTACTTCACAGGGGTATATAAGAATCAAATGATTTAATACACATAAAACACTTGTTAATAGTCCCTGGCTCATTCTGGGAGCTCAGTAATTAGCTCTCATTATTGTAATTAAATGAGTAAATAGAAACTATTATTTAAGTGAAGATAATGCTGTGAAGAAAAACCAAGTAGGATAAGGAGCTTGAGTGATTACAGTTGGGATGGGTCCTGTTACTTAGATGAGCAGGTCAGGGAAAGTTTCTCTGAAGAAGTAGCATTTGACTTGAGCTCTACAAAGAAATTGGTGATTATGCAAAATTGAAGGCCAGGAGCCAGAAGAGAGCTGTACTTGTGTGTGATGAACAGACTTCTTTTGAGACTGAGTTTCGCTCTGTTGCCCAGGCTGGAATGCAATGGCACGACACCATCTCACTGCAATCTCCGCCTCCCGGGTTCAAGTGATTCTCCTGCCTCAGCTTCCTGAGTAGCTGGGAACACAGGCACATGCCACCACACCTCGCTAATTTTTTTTTTTTTTTTTTGTATTTTTAGTAGAGATGGGGTTTCACCACGTTGGCCAGGTTGGTCTTGAACTCCTGACCTCAAGTGATCCACCCACCTCAGCCTCCCAAAATGCTGGGTCTACAGGTGTGGGCCACCGTGTCTGGCCCGTGTGATGAACAAATTTCTACCCTGTTTTCCTATCTCCTTTGGCCATATTCTGGTGGGTAAAACAGAATGATGAAACCAAATGAAACAGAGACTAGGAAGCCAAATGAAACAGGGATTGGTTGAGAAATCAAAAGTAAAAACATCAATAATAAAATCAACAGCCAATCAAGATTTTAAAATAGTAGTTTGGCATATGAATACCAAATAAATAAATTACACACCATTAACCTGAGAACTAGGATGAACAGATTGTGACAGATTGTAGATTGCCTTAATTGATTGATCTCCAAATTCTGTCCCTAAGAAACTGGTCCTTAGAGGTCCAATAGATGCTTATACCTCTCCTCTGTCACAAACACCATTGGTCATACATCCACTAGTCATAAGATTTTGTGGAAATCAAAAGATGATCCTTTTCAGATTGCAGTGAAATAAGACTAAATCATATTACTAACTCTAGGAACTTATTTTATTAGATCCATGAATCACTCATTTATCATAGAGAGTTTTCTATCGAAGAACAATGTCCAGACCCCACATTTTGCAGGGAAGAAAACAAAACAAAACAAAGAAGAGGTCCAGGTATTGAGAATAAAGCACTGTTTTAAAATGTGAGAAGCAACAAAAAATACGAAGAAAAAGACAGTCTTATAATTTGCGAATCAAATAAATTCATGTTATTTATCTTGAAACTTGACCTAAATTAAATTTGCCTAAGAGCCAAATGTTTTTATATTCACTTTTATTGTTAATTTTTAGTTCTTGGCTATGAAAAATGACTTATTTGTTTTTATCAGAAGCATAATTTTTGATGCTATTACAATTTCTGGTATTTTCAAAGTTTATGCAATTAGACAAACTTCTTATTAGAGTAGAATTTGTTTTAATATTCTCCTGTAACTTAGCCCCCAAATTCTCTTTCCAGCCTACCCTTTCCATGCACCTGTCACATTAGGCACAATGAAATACTCATCATCTCCTAAATATCTGCCACCAACATTTTATTTCTCCTAGTCCTTCAATTCAAACGTATCTGTAGTCAATAGCCTTTCTTTAAGGCAAAGTATCATGAATTTTAAATAGAGAAACCAGTAATGGAGAGCTCAAGTCAGAGTGAAGGAAGAAAAATGTACCCATAAAAATATTTGCAAACTGAGGAAAGAGTGACATAAAGAGGTTATGAAAGATATATAGACTTAGGCAGAGTGGCAGAGTTTCTGCAAGTGCTTGAATGTCAAGGAAGGTCCAGGTATGGCTGTGTAAGTGCTTTTGGGGAGTGAGACTAATTGTTGGATGAAAAAGTGTCAATGGTTAGCAGAGTCATGACTATAAAAATATTTTTACCCTTTGCTTTTATAAACATGTAATTCTGTTAACAGACAATGGTTAGTAAAAAATTAAAGTTGCAGTGCAATTTCCATCAGTCCTGGCACACAGCCCTTGCTTAGCTCACAGGTTTCATTACCACGCAGGCCTCTGTAGTGGGCCAACCTCAGTGTAACAGTCCGTATTCATGTGTATTCATGTGTATTTCATGTGTGCATTCATGTGTATTCAGCATGCTCAGTTTTCACATCCTATTCCAGGGAAGATGTTTGTATCAAAAGACTTTGGAACACCTTAAGAAGATTTCTTTCCTTTTTACTTGATGAAAGAGAGTTGTGTGTATCTTACTATTTTTTTTTTTTTTTTTTTTTTTTTTTTTGAGACAGAGTCTTGCTCTGTTGCCCAGGCCGGAGTGCAGTGGCACGATCTCGGCTCACTGCAAGCTCCGCCTCCCTGGTTCACACCATTCTCCTGCTTCAGCCTCCCGAGTAGCTGGGACTACAGGCACCCGCCACCACGCCCGGCTAATTTTTTTGTGTTTTTAGTAGAGACGGGATTTCACCATGTTAGCCAGGATAGTCTCAATCTCCTGACCTCATGATACGCCCACCTCCGCCTCCCAAAGTGCTGGGATTACAGGCGTGAGCCACCGTGCCCAGCCGTATCTTACTATTTTATGGGACAAGGTCAGTGTTAGGTAGGTAAGTCAAGATCCCAGGAGCTTTTAGTTGATTATTCACTGATACTGGTTAAATGTTTCCACTAAATTCCCTATAGTCTATCCAAAATAAATAGTATTTTGAAAATTCTTTTTTTCTATCATCTTTGTTCTAATACAAATAGTAAGAATTTTAAGACACTATTGTACCAAGTAGATTTTAACTCAAAATGTACTGCAAACTGAAACAATAAGGCCCCAATAGTTTGGAGGAAGCTGAAAAAGATGGATAAATTGAGAATTATTCTTAAAAATGATACTCTCTCTCTCTCTCTATATATATACATATGTATAAAATGAACATCTCATTTATTACAACATAATTAAATGTTGTAGGACCAGATGGAACAGATTGAATTTGTCTTCTTTCCAAAAATACACCTTTAAACAGTGGAGTAAGAAAGTTGTGCAGCAATTCTGTCACTGTTTATTTTCCCCATTACTTTATAACTGTACTACTCATATTTAATTCAGTTGCATTTTTCTTCATTTAAGAACTCAAGTTGATTGAGTCTTTCTAAAGATTGTAACTTAATTTTTATGGAAACAATTTCATATTTTCATTGTTATCATTTCATATAACATTTAATTAAATTTAGTAATTATAATAAAAAACTCACAAACGATTGAAGATAAGCAATTCTTGGTGAACATACAACTGGTGGTAGCTAATGGGCACAGGTAACTAGGAGTTAATGTTCTGTGGGCAGCAATGAATCATATGATCCACTGGGAAAAAGAGAGCCTCAGCTATTCTGGAAACTCAGTTAAACAGGTATTGGCCAAAATAGCAATGTTTTCTAAGTCCTTGTAACATGTTTTTGCTCACAATGAATGCATTTGTAGTGACAAGTGCAGAACTAGAAAGTAAATTCACTTTGATTACAAACTATTTCTGAATGTTTTCAGTACTGTTGTTGATAATGTAGTAGAGCAACATATGAATCATTATACCTTTTAAATTAATTTCATAAAACCAATAAAAATTGTTTTCTTTTCTAAACTACAGAGTGGTCCAAAGTAGAAATTCTGGATTCAGATAGTTTAGAGTCAAATTTCAACTGAACCATTTACAAACTGCGACCCTGGGAAAGTTACTTAACCTCTCTGTACCTTATTCTTCAATGGCAAAACAGAGGTAATAATGGCATTGAACTAATAGGGCCATGAAGATTAAATGATATAACACATGCATGGAGCTTAGCCTTGTGCCTGGTCCAAAGTCAGAATTCAGCAAATGTTAGCTACTATTCTTATTCTTTTTGTTATTATTATTTTCGTTTGTGCCTAAAATGCTAAAAAGATGACCAGTTCTTTCAGAACACTTATGAAACAAATTCTGAGAAGGGTACTAGAGAAGGAATCAACTAGATCTAAGAAGAACATCCAAACGTAGGGAACATAGGGTAAGGAAATGTGGAGATTTTCATGTATTTGCAATTGGAATATTTCTTTTTTTTTGCTTTTATTTCCAAACAGAAATTATATTTTTGACAGTTCTGATTTAAAGATCTTATGAAATAAATTGATCCAATTACTAAACACTTTATGTGAAAACAAACACCTCTTTAGAATAAGTTTTGAAAAAATATACTGAACTGTTACAAATGAAAAATGAATATTCAAATGACTTTTTGTATTAGTCCGTTTTCATGCTGCTGATAAAGACATAGACAAGACTGGGTAATTTACAAAAGAAAGAGGTTTAATGAACTTACAGGTCCACGTGGCTGAGGAGACCTCACAATCATGGTGGAAGATCAAAGGCACATCTTACGTGGCAGCAGACAAGAGAAGAGTGAGAGCCAAGTGAAAGGGGTTTTCCCTTACAAAACCATCAGATTTTGTGAGACTTATTCACTACCACGAGAACAGTATGGGGGAAACTGCCACCATGATTCAATTACCTCTCACCAGTTCCCTCCCACAAGACGTGGGAATTATGGGAGATAAAATACAAGATGAGATTTTGGTAGGGACACAGCCCAACTATATCATTCCGCCCTGGCCCCTCCCAAATCTCATGTCCTCACATTTCAAAACCAACCACACCTTCCCAACAGTCCTGCAAAGTCTCAACTCATTTCAGCATTAACTCAAAAGTCCACAGTCCAAAGTCTCATCTGAGACAAGGCAAGTCCCTTCCACCTGTGAGCCTGTAAAATCAAAACCCAGTTAGTTATTTCCTAGCTACAATAGGGTTACAGGCATTGGGTAAATACAGCCATTCCAAATGGGAGACATTGGCCAAAACATAGGGGTTACACGCCCCATGCAAGTCCAAAATCCATCAGGGAAGTCAAATCTTGAAGCTCCAAAACAATCTCTTTTGATTCTATGTCTCACATCCGGGTCATGCTGATGCAAGAGATGGGTTCCCATGGTCTTGGGCAGCTCTGTCCCTGTGGCTTTGCAGGGTACAGCCTCCCTCCTGACTGCTTTCATTGCTGGGATTGAGTGTCTGTGGCTTTTCCAGGTGCATGGTGTAAGCTATTGGTGGATCTACTGTTCTAGGGTCTGGAGGACAGTGGCCCTCTTCTCACAGCTCGACTAGGCAGTGCCCCAGTAAGGACTCTGTGGGGGAGCTCTGATCACACATTTCCCTTCCACACTGCCCTAGTAGAGGTTCTCCATGAGGGCCCCACCTCTGCAGCAAACTTCTGCTGGGGCATCCAGGCATTTCCATACATCCTCGGAAATCTAGGCAGAGTTTCCCAAACCCCAATTTTTGACTTCTGTGCACTCGCAGGCTCAATACCACATGGAAGCTGCTAAGGCTTTGGGCTTGCATCCTCTGAAGCCAAAGCCTGAGCTCTATGTTGGCACCTTTCAGCAATGGCTGGAGCAGCTGGGATGCAGGGCACCAAGACCCTAGGTTGCACACAGCACAGGTGACCATTTTTCCCCTAGGCCTCAGGGCTTGTTATGGGTGGGGCTGCAGTGAAGACCTCTGACATGTCCTGGAGACATTTTTCCCATTGTCTTGGGGATTAACATTTGGATCCTCATCACTAATGCAAATTTTTGCAGCCATCTTGAATTTCTCCTCAGAAAATGGGATTTTCTTTTCTATTGCATTGTCAGGATGCAAATTTTCCAAATTTTTATGCTCTCCTTTCCTTATAACACTGAATGCCTTTAACAGCAACCAAGTTACCTCTTGAATGCTTTGCTGCTTAGACATTTCTTCCACCGGATACCCTAAATCATCTCTCTCAAGTTCAAAGTTCCACAAATATCTAGGGCAGGGGAAAAATGCCACCAGTCTCTTTGTAAAACATAACAAGAGTTACATTTGCTCCAGTTCCTAACAATTTTCTCATTTCCGTTTGAGACCACCTCAGCCTGGACTTTATTGTCCATAACACTGTCAGCATTTTGGGCAAAACCATTCAACAAGTCTCCAGGAAGTTCCAAACTTTCCCACATTTTTCTGTCTTCTTCTGAGCTATCATAACTGTTTCAACTCCTACCTGTTACCCAGTTCCAAAGTTCCTTCCACATTGTCAGATATATTTTCACCAGTGCCCTACTCTACTGGTACCAATTTACTGTATTAGTCCGTTTTCATTCTGCTGATAAAGACATACCCAAGACTGGGCAATTTACAAAAGAAAGAGGTTTAGTGGACTCACAGTTCCATGTCGCTGGGGTGGCCTCACAATCATGGCAGAAGGTGAAAGGCACATCTCACATGGTGGCAGATGAGAAGAATGAGAGCTAAGCAAAAGGAGTTTCCCCTTATAAAACCATCAGATCTTGTGAGACTTATTCACTACCATGAGACCAATAGGGGGGTAACACCACCATGATTCACTTATCTCTCACTGGGTCTGTCTCACAACATGTGGGAATTATGGGAGATACAATTCAAGATGACATTTGGATGGTGGACACAGCCAAACTGTATCAGTTTTCTACAACTTTTATAAATGCATAGGGTATTACAAATACCGTAAATTAGTTGGTTAATATTTAGTATGGTAGAATATATTCTATCTACATTTTCTGGGGAAATCAAAGTTACTTTGGTGTCATAACTCATTTAAGCCAAATTGATTGGGTTTCATTTTTCATAAAAGATGCTTCTTTTAAGAATAGTAAATATAGCAAATCAATAATATTGATACTGACATTAATTTATGCCACAACATCTAAGAGGGTATGCAGGGGAACATCTGTTACCAAAGAGAGAAATAACAAAATATTTATATATTGTGAAACAGAAAAGATGATTTAAAAATTTAGAATTTCATATACATACATACAAATACATAAATGTTTATATTAATAGCTATATTTTTTCTTACTCCCTGCCTCCATTTTCCATTGAATCAAATTTCTGTATATATAGATACCAATTCCTATGAGCTTCTGGAAATCCCTTCTCTTGCTGTCGGTTTTTTCTCCCTTTATTCTCCATGTTTTGTTTTGTCCTTCCCACTTCTCTGTTTGTAGCTCTCATCTTTTTTTCCCTTAGTAATGTCTGGTTCTTGTGACTTTGATAGTTGTTCCTGTTTCTGTCCAGGGGGTGCTACTCAGATCTATCTCTGATGAAGGATTTACTTCCTTCAGGTTGGCCAGACCCCATCTAAAAGCTAGACCCCAATGAAAAACACAGGTCTTCACGTTTTGGTATTGACCACTTCTCTTGGTATAACTTTAACATCTTTTAGGTTAGCAGTGTCTTTCCCAGAGACAACCCTCCCCTTAGCACTCCATCCCCTGAAACATGGATGGAGGGAGCAAAACAAGTGTCTTGGGTAAAAATAAAATCCCTTTCTATCACACTGGAGTCAATCCAATTCAGACCTGTTGCAAGCTCTGCAACTGAGATAAGTCTACGTGATTTTGGTTGTCAGCTAACAAAGCTAAAAGTGTTCCCTTTAAATGACAATGTCTAAGCTTTCAGAACCCACAAAGAAATTACAAAAAGTTATTACTGTACCTGTGTTGATACATAACACTCTATCCCATAAATGTGTACAAATATTATAAAGCAACTAAAAACAAAATTTTTAAAAGGTTCTTATTTCATAAACTGCTCACCGTTTTAGTTTAGTTCTTTCAGATTTTACTGGAGTTATTAAAATTTGTAACAATAACAACAGTCATTCAAATTAAAAATGATTCAAGGACTAAAAATTCCCAATAAAGAGAGAAAACACAAAGGGAAATTAGGAAATACAAGAAAACTGAAATGACAAGGCTGGTTTGATATGCTTAGTGGTAAAAAACCTTAAAATCTTAAAGACACATATATTTAACCTGAGGGCAAAGAGGAAAATTTCATGTACTATTGCAAGTGGCTTCCTAAGATTTTAGAAATAAGAACCACAGGCAAATAATAGTTAATTGGATTGGAGCTGACATACCATAGTACCAAAAGCCATAGCAATTAGATACCTACTGTCATCGGTAGTTGAAAATTCTACACTGTTTCTTTCTAATTTTTAAACTTATATTTTCCTTTTACTTTTCTTTTCAATCTTGAAGGTCCTTTATTGATTTTCTTATATTTCATTATCTCAAAACACAGTATGTGCTACCTTGAAGTTTGAATTTCCAAGAAATTTACTTTGAGCATAGGTCTTAAGTATTAACATTTTTCTTGAATGAATTGTCATATTTATTATTAGCACACAAGGGGTCAAAACAACATAAATTTATTATGTTTTATAAATAATTATTAAATATCAAAACTGACATTTAGGAATGTTCAAAATGCATTTCTTTTTTCTTTGAACTCTTTATTTTAGAAATTTTCAAATGCACAGAAAAGTTGAAAGAAGAGCACCATGAATATCTTCACACCCTTTGCCTAGATTCACCAATTGTTCATGTTTTGGCACATTTGCTTCGGGGGCGATTAAGTACATATAATACAGAATGGCATTGTTTCCCAAGAGGCCCAGGTTTAGAATGAAATCCTATAAATAAATTATTGCTCAAGCAACCTCTCTGTCTTTTTAAATTTTTTTGTAGGAATTATAGACCAAAAGGCCTCTTACCTCCTCAATTATTCCTGAGATGTCCTTGAAAATGTCTTATACGCACATGAGTAAGCTCCATTGGCTGTCACCTTACATTATCATCTTCTTGCCTTTACATAGACTTCCATGGAGAAACCAATGGTATCTGTGATAGCGTGCAACAGAACTCCCCCAAGTCACAGGTATACCCAAAGGTACCTAACCTTGCCAATAGGCATCAAGATCTTTGACCCAACATTTCCTTAGCATTACCCCCAGTAAAAAATGCACTCTTCACTCACAGACTATTACTGATGTTCTGTGTTTTCTCATGTTCTTGATGCCCTGGAACCAAGTACATTTGTGAATGCTTTCCTGTCCCCTCTTTCATGCTATGTAAATCACATCAGTACTGTGCAGCTTGCCTCAATGCTTTTGTTTTTTCTTTTCTTTTTTTCTTTTCTTTTTTTTTTTTTTTTTGAGACAGAGTCTTGCTCTGTCGCCCAGGCTGGAGTGCAGTGGCGCAATCGCGGCTCACTGCAAGCCCTGCCGCCTCCCAGGTTCAAGCCATTCTCCTGCCTCAGCCTCCCGAGTAGGGACTACGGGCGACCGCCTCCACGCCCAGCTAATTTTTGTATTTTCAGTACAGACGGGGTTGTTTTTTCTTAATTAAATGACTTGCTCTTTAGCCTACAACTTACGCCCATCACCAAAAGACTCAAACATGACTTCATATGAACAGAGTCCTTGCCACCATGTAACACTAAGTGAAATCTGTCTCCCCTCTCTGATTCCTGAAGCCTTATTATTGGGCCTGATTTGTCTGCCTTTCTTCTTTTCTCTTAGGAAAAATTCTCTCCTGCAGGTTTTCAGTCTCTCATGCAAGATGATCTCCAATGATCCTACTATACCTCAATACTAGTTGTAGACGCCACTCAAGCTTGAGTGCCTCTGCCTTCCCCAAAATTCATGCACATAGACAAACAACGCTTATGAAATAGCCAGAAGAGGAATCCCAACTTAACCTATCAGGAAATATGTTAAAACATGGTAATTAAAAATAAGAAAAATTAGTAACTAAAGGATGAATTTAAGAAAGAAAAATATTTATTGATGGTCAACTTGAGTATAACCTTAAAAAGAGAAAAAGTATATGATTTAGGTTGTTGTTGAATTCCAGGAATAAAGGCTGCTAGTATCTTTGGCTAGTATAACTAGCTAGTATAACGATAGCTAGTATAACTAGCTAGTATAACTCAAGACTTTCGGGAGGGGGGTAAACCAGGGATTACCATTTTGATGAAGTTTAAAATTTCTGTTCTTCATTTTGAAACCAATATAGCAAACCCAACTACTTGGTTTATCTCAGTTTTGCAGTTCAGTAGTTTTGGGTTTTGTAGAAGTATACATGAAAGAGCATTTCAACATATTTTAGGTTTCTACTCCTTACATCATTAAACTGGAATGTTTTTAAAGTTTGGGTGATGTTCTCTTTTGACTATACTGCATGAGTGAATGCAGTAACTGTCAGAGGTAACCGATCTTTTTGTGGTTTCTAATGGGTATAATGTCTAGTGCAACCATTTAAAACTTCATTTGCTGCTTTTAAAATAGAAACATAATTTAAAATTTTGTTGTAATTTCACATGCTTGTCCAATTGTGTTTTCTTTCCAGAAAAGCAACAATAATCAGGGGCTGCCTAAAAACCAACAAATTAAAATGACTTTTCTTTAAAGGCTTTTCAATATTACTTTTACCTTATCAAGATTACACATTTAAATAAGAAGAATGCCTTTTTTTTCCAAATTTTTTAAATTTTTGACACACAGTCCCTGGAATCTTGGGAAACATAATTTTTTCCAACTTGAGCATTATATGTTGTAATAATTTCTTAGTTATCACTGTTTATCAATATATTTTAGTAGAAAAAATAACTTTACTCACAAAACAAGTGAACTAGTAAGATATTCCATGAATGTATTCCTTGTTATTAGAGGAGCTGTTTTTAATGTTAAAGTTTTCAACTTCTTTTTAAAAGTAATGACAGTTAAGTTTTCCAATTTCAAGAAAAATAATTGCATTTCAACTTGCATTAGTCAATTGCAACTGGCATTAGTCAGTTGCAACTGGCTAGGAGGCACAGGCTGGTGGGTGCTGTGATGCATCCACATTTTCTTTTTCTCTTTTCATTCTATATTTTTGGGGAAAAGAGGGCAACATTCCAAAGTCTCACATTTTCATTTGTTCCTCTCACTGGCTTCTTGTTCATCCATATGTTACTCTCACTGGCTTCTCATTATTTTATTTTTGTTTCATTTTTATATATTACATTTGATTTCCTCCTATCCTCTCTGTAATGAAATATTTATGTTATTTTCCTTTCCCCTAACTACACTGAAAAGCAACCCTCAAATGAGAATCGGGAAAAGAAAAAGTGGGCCAATTTTCTTTTAATCTTTATAAATAGCACTCAACTGAAATTTCTGGTTTCTGATCTAGTTGTTTCTTCTTTCTTGTAGTTAAATGAAATAAAGTAGTAAAAAGAAAACAATAGAATATTTGCTCTTACTAAATTTTTGAAATATTAGATTAAATTTAATTCAAAACAATACTTAAAAATTTTGTTTTTCAGACATTTTCAAGGACCTCTAGAGAAAGAATTAATTTCTATGTGCCTTATCCATCAACTATAATTAGATGAAATCTGAGTTTGCAGGATATAAAAGATTTTCATTTGACAGTTATTTTATGGGTCATGCATGCATTTGTGTGATACATATTAGTGGCTTAAATATATTTTATATGTAATTTCTAGAAAAGAAAAAACAGGTGCCAAGTTGGTACTAAGCACTCAATAAATCTTTGGCAATTAAGCACGGCTGTTAAGCATTGAAAGCCTTGCCAAGATTTGGGATTCAAGAGAGAGCAAAAATGGGGCCAGAGAGTTGAGGATAAGCATTGATGACAATCTTGTAAGATATTTTTGTTGGAGAACACAGACTTTAATTTTCCTTTATATTTTGACTTTAGAATTCTACTTTAACTTGCACTTTGAGAAAATTTGCCCTATTTCACTCCAGAATTATTTGTTACTCTAATGATGCTATTATTGGCAATATATAATACAGATATATTACATGTAAATATTCTGGCATTTATTTGCAAATATGTTACAAAATTTAATTCCTAATAAGCATACCTTAAATTCGGGTTTCAAATTATATAAGAATGCAATCACCATTTCCTTTTTCCCTATGTGCAATAGTTTAGAACTCTTATGTAAGAATTC